>NC_000021.9:45930503-46084399 GCF_000001405.40 Homo sapiens | reverse complement strand
GACGGGAACACGGGAGCAGATGGGTCTGCTGCCGCTGCTCACAGGAAGCCACCACAGGGCAGGGTCAGAGGGCACTCACAGCAGCCACAGGGCCGGGTGTGGGGTGGTCACACTGCCTGGGACCAGTTGCCAGTTTCAGAGGGGAGGGGACGTCACAGAGCTCAAGACAGGGCCCTGGGTCCCCCCCAGAGCTGCACTAGGGGGTCTGGGACCACAGCTCGCCTGGGATGGGTTCGGACCCAGAGACTGGACATCCAGCCTCAAAGTCAGGCTATTGCTGCTTGCATCTCCGCTGCCCTGTATGTTGGCGGGGGTGGGGAGCAGCCCCCTGTTCCACAGGCATCGGGAGCAGCTCACAGCCCGTGCAGCCGAGCCACAGGGATGACACATGCCCAGAAATTAGGAATACCGCCTGGAAGGGACCCTAGGAGCCATCTGCGGTGGGGCGCCCATTCCACATCCTCAGGGTACAGGGCCTGCTCTCCCCAGCTTCTCCCCTACAGGCCCAGGACACAGGCCTTGTCTGCGCCTCCCTCCCACTCCTGCCTGCTCTGTTCCTTGAGGTCGGGAGGAGTGGGGCGTGGTGGGGCTGCGTGCCCTGTTGCGTTTCTTTGGGGGCACTGGTCCTCCTGGCTCCTGGGCAGCTCCCTCCCGTGGTCTGAGGCACTCACGCTGCCCTCTGGGCCCCTCCCGCTCTGTGGGCTGAGGTCTTGGAAGACTCAGCGACGTCGGCCGCAGAGAAGCCTCTCTTCCCTTTGAAGGAGCCGCTTTCCGGCAGGAAGAAAATTTTAAATTGTCGGACAAATCAAGCCCTAAACAGAACCAGCTGTCCTGAGGATTAACAGCCTTGAGACCCGGAACAAACGTGCAGCCCCGCGTGGAGGGCGCGGTGCTGTGGGCGGCAGCCGGGGGGTGGCTATGAACTTGTGAGCTGGAAGCCACTTCGAGAGGGCCTGATTCCGGGGCCCACAGTCGTCGCAGGGGTGGGATTTTCTGGGGCTGGTTTAACCGAAATGCCACAGGGGCCCCTCAATTTCTCCCGAGTCAGGACTCCCTGGAGGCTGCCGCCTGCCCTCCCCCAGGGTCTGAGGCCCAGCCTTGGAGGGCCCTGTGGAGACTCCACCGGGCAAACCTCCTCTCAGTAAGCAGATGCGGTCGAGGGTGAGACCAGCAACATGTGGCCCCCTCCCTGCTCAACGCACCCAATTACCCAACTCACTTATTAGATCCCCGCACGTGCAGATGTGGTGGCAGGCGGGGGAGGGCTGCTGGGTGCGGCCCAGGGCCTCCCAATAAGACCTGGATGGTGACGATGGCCTGCAGGCTGGGAGCACCTTGCCTGCCCGGCTGCCCCCCAGGTCACCTCTTCCAAGCTCAGGTCCCTCTGGACAAGACTCTGAGTCCCCCACCCCACCCAGCTCTCCAGGGGCCCCCTCCCACCAGCTCAGAGACCCCCTTTATCAGGCGCCCCACTCTGCCCCCACGAATGCTCAAGGCCCCGATCCCTGCCAGCATGTCTTCTGGCCTCAGCTCACGTCCCAGGGACTGGTCACCCAGCCTCCCCACCTGAGTGGAAGCCCAGTGGCCTTCCTGGAGGAGGGGGTCATTTTCTTGGCATTGCCAGGTCCTGAGTCCTCCTGAGCTTCTCTCCCCTGCAGTTGGTGTGGACAGTCCCAGGCGTGGCACCCCAGGGACACAGAGGCCCAAAGTGAGAGGACCCTCTAGCCCACCTGGCTTCTCTGTCAAGGCCCAGCCTGTGGGACAGGTCGGGACTGGGAGGGTCTCTGGGGAGCAAGGGTCAGATGGGAAGAGAGATCAAGTGGGTGGGTCCCTGCCAGGAGGGGGCACAGCACCCCCAGGCCTGCTCACTCTGGGACTGACCACAGCCTCCCGGGGTCACACCACGATGGCTGAGCAGCGAGCGTCGTCGTCCAAGCCGTGACTGAGGCGGGGTGAACGGTTGCCTGGGGAGGGTGGGCCGGGCTGTTGACCCTGAGAGCCGCCCTGACGGGAGCCCCGAGGTTGCATCTGCAGGACCCCTGCCCCCACCTGGCCTGGCCTCGGGGGGCTGCTGTCCCCCGTCCTTGTACCGCCCACAGCAGACACGCACGGCAGCCTCCAGGGACTGCAAAGCCACAGTGTGTTTGAGGGGCGGCCTCTGGACCCTGGGCTCTGGGGCCCTGCACGGTGGACGGGGTCTGTGGAGGGGTCGGGGGAGCTGACCGCTCACCCCCTCTTTGCCGTCCAGGCTCCTGTTGCCTCCCTATTCCCAGGCTGCCTCGGCCAACGGCGCTCAGCTACTCAGAGCCTGGGAGAGACAGGGCATGAAGGACCCCATTCATCCTCTGCCTGACCTGAGGCAAGTCATTTGCTCCCTGGGTGCCTCAGTTTCCCCACCCGTGAGAGGGGCATGCGTGTCTTGCGGGTTCCTCCGTGTGGTGTGAAGGTTCTCACTGTCCCGTGGTAGGGGCTGCTGAGAACAAGCAAATGGCCTGCTCCCTGGGAGCCGCCGGCACCTCCTTCTAAGCCCTGGAATCCGTAGCCCTCCAGTGGCTGCGCCTGCTCTTCCGGTCCTGGACGGCTGGGCCGAGTCCACATGGCACCTGCTGCAGGGCCCCTGGGCTGCTCCCCTCTCCTCCTCAGCTGTGAAACAGCGACTGCTGTCGGGAAGTTTCCATGGCTGTCGGGTGCGGCCGTGGGTGCCACAGCTGGTTCGGGCCTCCCTGCCATCCGGGGCTCTGAGTCAGCTGCCCTGGCCCAGGCCACCTGCCAGGGGGAGCGCTGGGAGGCCCCAGCTGCAGAGACCCTGAGGCTCCCCTGTCCCTGCTCTGGGCCCACCCCTCAGTCCCTAGGGTTGGGGACCGGGGGGTCTTCAGTGGGGCCTGGGGGAGGCTTCACAGTCTGTCCCTGCCTCACTGCTGGGGGGATGCAGGGCCGTGCCCACCCCCACGCCAGCTAAACGACCTCGGCCGTTCCTGTACATGACACACTTTCCAGAGCCCGGGCCGTGCAGTCATATTTGTCACTCGGAGAAAATGTTCCGAAGGTGGCTAGGTCCAGGTGAATGTGTCACGGCACATTTATCAGGAAGGAATTTGGGCTATTAGTGAGTGACTGGTAATGGTCAGACACCCATGTTTTCTGCAGAGCAGGCCTTCTGTGTCTGAGCTCGGGAGGAGGTCCTGGTGCACGAAGGAGACGGCCGTGTGCCGGGCGCCTTCGAGTGCCCTCCTCATCCCGTTGTCCCCGAGGCCTCTGGGGCTACGCAGTGTCTGCGTTGGCGCACTTGGCCTCAGAAGCCCCATTCAGCGTCCTCTCCTCGGTGGTGGGCAGGAGACTGGGTGGCCTGGGTCTGTACCCCGGCGTCACTCCTGCTCTGTGACATCCCGTTTTCAGAGTAGTTGGGGTGCTCATCAGTTGACCTTAGGTGGGAGGTCACTGGGTGGACCTGGCCTCATGACGGGAGGCCTATGGCACCTCGAGTGGGGCCAGAAGAGAAGTTGTAGGGTTGGAAGCACCTGGGGACTCCTGTGAGGGGCTGGGGGACTGTTGCCAAGGGTGAGGGCTGAGCCTGGCCACAGTCCCCAGAAGACACAGTCCCAAAGCTGCCGGGAACCGGGAACAGGTTGGCTGTCAGCCGAGTGAGCTTGGAGACGGCCGTCCCCCCGGGCCCGGGACCAGGCTGCAGTTGCTGCGTGAGACTGGCTGAGCCCCAGACTCCTGGCCTGCAGGCTGGGCTGCAGTGGGAGCTGGTGAGGCCACGTGTCTGCTGCTTTTATCTGCATGTACAGCCCAGGCGCTCGGGGGCCTCCTGCCAGTGCCCCTTGTCGTCTTCTGTGCCTCGGCAGCTGCACCGCCCTGGGCCCTGCAGGTTTAGCTGCTGTTTATGACCCACGGGGCTGCACCTGGGACCTCACCCAGTCTAGGCTGACATCCTCCTGACACTCACTGAATGTGCTTCTCCATCCCCGTGAGATGCTCACAGCGACTTCCTGGTCATCTGCTGGGAGGCTGGTGGCCACGAGGGCAGAACCTCACATCTGGACCTGGTTCCAGGGAGGAGGGGGGGACGCGAGGAGAATGGGCGGCAGCCACGCTGACAGGACAAGTCTGGGAGCAGCGCAACACGCCATCGGGGGCTCGCCCATGTGGCCCACCCCTTGACACCCCCAGGGAACCCCCACAGCACCCCCCGGGGCACCCACAAGGCACATCCATGCCACCCCCACAGCACCTCTGTGGCACACCTCCTCTTGAGCCCACAGAGCAGGGGCTGCACCTCCCCGGGAGTGAGGGAGTTGTGCGGCTGCCTCTGCAGACGTCTGTTCTCTGTTGCATTTTCCAAAGCAGAGTCCCCAGCAAGGGTCCCCGGAACGGGCGTTGGGAGCCCTGAGTGGTCACTGCAGCTCACTGTGATCCTGTGTCCTGGGTGGCCGCGAGGGGCTGATGGGAGCTCGATGTGCGTGTGCGTGTGTGTGCGCATGTGTGCATGTGTGTGTGTGTGTCCACGGATGTGTGCATGTGTATGTGTGTACGTGTGTGTGTCCATGTGCGTGTACGAGTGTACACGCGTGTGTGTGCACGTGTGTGGGTGTGTATGTGCATGCACGTGTGTGTGCATGTGCGTGTGGATGTGTGTGCGCACATGTGTGTGTGTGTATGTGTGTCCACACGTGTGTGTGTAGCCTGGTGCTGTTGGCTACGTGCGTGGGAACAGAACCTTCCAAGACACCCTGGCTGGATGAACTCAGCGGTGTGGCTGACATGTCAGTGGGACACAGTGGGGCTCACAGGAAGCTAGCCCCTTGTTAAAGCTCCGAGGAGGGCCTGCGTGAGCTGGGGCAGTGCTGGCTTCCTCTGAGTCACATGGGTCTGTTTCCAATTATGAGCCCAGCCGCCAGTGACAGCACGTGTGGGGGTGAGTGTCTGAGCAGCGAGCACATAGCTTCGTGGACTCCTCAGACCCCCAGTCCATGTTGGACCAGGAGGGAGCCGGGAGCAGGGAGGCCGGTGACCTGGCTGGGATCCCAAAGTCTGATAGTGGCTTTGGGGCTCGACTTCACATCTGGGACCACGTGGCCTGAATCCTTGGGTTTAATTGATAAGTTGCAGCTCAGTGGGCCTGGGGTCCCTCCTGCAAGCCCCGGGCTGCCGGTCCCCTGGGCATCCTCTGCAACCCTGCAGGACCTGGTCACGCCCACAGTCTCCCATGGGCAGTGGTGCTGGATGCTGCCTTCCTTGTTTCCACATAACTTGGCTCAGTGGCATTCAGGCCTCCATGCCCCAGGGACCACGGCTGTTTAACCTCCATCATCAGGAGTTTTCTGACCCTTTCTCAGAGGCATGAAGGCCATGGGGGCCTCTGCCCAGCCAGGTCCTCAGCCTCAGCCACAGACCCAAGTGTTTCCTCTGGTGACACCCCTTAGGGTGCCCAGCTTGGGGACTCCGGGTGACCCTGCTGTGGGACCCTTGTGCCTGCCCAGGACAGGCTGACTTGGGGCTCTGCCGGCCTCGGAGTCACCACCAAGGGTGAGGGCTGAGCCTGAACCTGGCCACAGTCCCCAGAAGACACGGTCCCAAAGCTGCCAGGAACTGGTTGGCTGCTCTGTGCTCTCCTCACTTCCCTGCTGAGGTCACCCTCTCCAGCTCAGCCTCTGCCACGTGGGATCTTTGCTGAAGGTTCCTCTCCGCCCTGGTACTTCCACTCCCCTCAGAGCCTAAGCCTGTGATGCACAAACCCCGGAATACGTCTTTCTTTCCCACGCTTTCTGCATTGGAGCTGAGAAGGCTCCGGGAGCATGGACCCTGGCGGCCCCTCTAGCCATGCAGGGCGCCTGCGGTGGCTGCTCTGGGTGGCCCCTTGAGTCCCGAGTGAGGAGAAAGTGCAAGAGAACCGCTGGTGCGGGAAGGAGGACCCTGAGGGCCTCGGTGAGTTTTTGGTGCTGCAGGTGCAGGGTGAGGACCCCTCAAGCCCGTCGTCTCTCTGGACCCCCCGTCTCACCTGGTGTGGACGCCCCTGAGGCTGCCCCACACCGGCCTCACTGCAATGCTCCAGGGACAGGAATCGTGGGCAGATGGCGTCTCCTCCATGTCATTATGTGGTCCTCCCTCTGGGAATGTCTGTGTCTCATCTCCTCTCCTTATGTGGATGCCAGTCGGATTGGATTAGGGCTACCCCGATGGCTTCCTTTTACTTCAGGGCCTCTCAAACACCCTGTCTCCAAATAAGTCACATTCCAAGGTACTGGGAGTGACCACTTCAACGAAGGAGCTTTGCAGGTTCCACCCCAGTGGGGAGCAGGAAGGCCGTGGTGCCTGCACCTCCACCATCGGCCCATGTCACCACCGAGTCCTGCGAAGCAGAGAGACCAGCCTTGCGTCGGTGCTGTGCTTTGCAGAGACTGGGGACCCCGCAAAATGAGTGAACACGTCTCGCAGAGGCAGGGGCCCGAGTGCCTGGTTTCTGGAGCCCCACGAGGAAGCCCTCTCCTCCCCGCTTTCCTTGGGTCCACCTGGGGGCCTTTACGACTTCACGGGGGCATCCAGACCGAAGCAGGAGACCACCAGGTGTCCCAGGGCCAAGTCCAGTCCTCCTGGCTGGGTGATCTTTACTGGTGCGTGGAGAAGAGTGAGCCATCCGTGTGGAAGGTCTGTGCGGGTGCCTGCTGTGTTCTGGGGACTCCCTAGAAGCAGGGACACACTTGTGCGTTTCAGACACACCCTTACCCAGTGTCTGAAACCACTGTCCTGAGAAGGACCATGAGCTCTCGGTGCTACGCTACTCATCTGCCCCACCCCAGCACGGGGGAACCAGCAGTAGGGTATTTATTAAGGATTCTTGGGGCCACTGAGACTTGGTGAAATGGTTCATTCATTCAAAGAGCCATGGACGTTCTCTTCTCCAATCCAAAATGACAAAGTAGACACATTTTATCCGTTTCTCTTTGTGAAGAGAGAATTGTATTACATAACGTCTGACTTACAGTCAATGCTCCAGGAACCAGGACGTCCTGTGTCCTGTAGCTCTATGGGATTAGGTGGCCCTAATCTAATGGCTGGTGTCCATGTAAGAAGAGGAGACGATACAGACACACAGAAACACACACAGAAGCTAAGAGTATTTTTTTTATTTTAAGTTCTGGGGTACATGTGCAGGATGTGCAGGTTTGTTACATAGGTGAACGTGTGCCATGGTGGTTTGCTGCACCTACCAACCCATCACCTAGGTATGAAGCCCAGCACACATTAGCTCTTTTCCTAATGCTCTCCCTCCCCCAACCCCACACCCTGACAGGCCCCAGTGCGTGTCGTTTCCCTCCCTGTGTCCATGTGTTCTCATTGTTCAGCTCCCACTTATAAGTGAGAACATGCGGTGTTTGGTTTTCTGTTCCTGCGTTGGTTTGCTGAGGATCACGGCTTCCAGCTCTATCCACGTCCCTGCAAAGGACATGATCTTATTCCTTTTTATGGCTGCATAGTATTCCATGGTCTATATGTACCACATTTTCTTTATCCACTCTATCATGGATGAACATTCGGGTTGATTCCATGTCTTTGCTATTGTGAATAATGCTGCAATGAACATATGCGTGCTGTATCTTTATAATAGAATGATTTATAATCCTTTGGGTATATACCCAGTAATGGGATTGCTGGGTCAAATAGCACTTCTGGTTCTAGATCTTTGAGGAATCACCACACTGTCTTCCACAATGGTTGAACTAATTTACATTCCCACCAACAGTGTAAAAGTATTCCTATTTCTCCACAGCCTCGCCAGCATCTGTTGTTTCTTGACTTATTAATAATCGCCATTCTGACTGGTGTGAGATGGTATCTCATCATAGTTTTGATTTGCATTTCTGTAATGACCAGTGATGTTGAGCTTTTTTTCATATGTTTGTTGCCTGCATGTATGTCTTCTTTTGAGAAGTGTCTGTTCATGTCCTTTGCCTGCATTTTAATGGGCTTGTTTGCTTTTTTCTTGTAATTTGTTTAAGTTCTTTGTAGATTCTGGGTATTAGGCCTTTGCCAGATGGATAGATGGCAAAAATGCTCTCCCATTCTGTAGATTGACTGTTTGCTCTGATGATAGTTTCTTTTGCTGTGCAGAAGCTCTTTAGTTAGATCCCATTTATAAATTTTTGCTTTTGTTGCAATTGCTTTTGATATTTTCATCATGAAATCTTTGTGCCTATGTCCTGAATGGCATTGCCTAGATTTTCTTCTAGGGTTTTTATAGTTTTGGGTTTTACATTTAAGTCTTTAATCTATCTTGAGTTAATTTTTGTATAAGGTGTAAGGAAGGGGCCCAGTATCAATTTTCTGCATATGGCTAGCTAGTTTTCCCAGCACCATTTATTAAATAGGAAATCCTTTCCCTATTGCTTGTTTTTGTCAGGTTTGTCAAAGATCAGATAGTTGTAGATGTGTGGTCTTATTTCTCAGTTCTCAATTCTGTTCCACTGGTCTGTGTGTCTGTTTTTTTGTTTGTTGTTTGTTTGTTTTTTTGTTGTTGTTTTTAGCAGTATCATGCTGTTTTGGTTACTATAGCCTTGTAGCATAATTTGAAGTCCAACAGTGTGATGCCTCCAGCTTTGTTCTTTTTGTTTAAGATAGTCTTGGCTATAAGAACTCTTTTTTGGTTCCATATGAATCGTAAAATAGTTTCATCTAATTAATTCTGTGAAGAATGTCAATAGTAGTTTAACGGGAATAACATTGAATCTATACATTACTTGCCATTTTCACGATATTGGTTCTTCCTATCCATGAGCATGGAATGTTTTCCCATTTGTTTGTGTCCTCTCTGATTTCCTTGAGCAGTGGTTTGTAGTTCTCCTTGAAGAAGTCCTTCGCTTCCCTTGATAGCTGTATTCCTAGGTATTTTATTCCCTTTGTAGCAATTGTGAGTGGGAGTTCACTCATGATTTGGCTCTCTGCTTGTCTGTTTTTGGTGTATAGGAATGCTTGCGATTTCTGCATATTGATTTTGTGTCCTGAGACTTTGCTAAAGTTGCTTATCAGCTTAAGAAACTTTTGGGCTGAGACGATGGGGTTTTCTAGATATAGGATCATGTCATCTGTGAACAAAGACAATTTGACTTTCTCTCTTCCTATTTGAATACCTTTATTTCTTTCTCTTGCCTGATTGCCCTGGCCAGAACTTCCAATACTATGTTGAATAGGAGTGGTGAGACAGGCTGTCCTTCCAAGTTGCCCAGGCTGCTCTTGAACTGGACTCACCTAAGCTTCCAAACGTGCTGGGATTATAGGTGTGAGGAGCCACTACACTTGGAGATCCAAATGTTAAATTTATCCCTAAGCATTTATTGTTATTTGATACTATCATAAATTGTAGTTCATAAATTATAATTTCTGACTGTTCATTGATCTTGTATTCTGTGACTTTGCTACATTCAAATGTCAGTTCTAGTAGCTTTTTGGGTTTCCTAAGTTTTCTAGATACGCAATCATGTTGTCTGTGTATAAAGACAATCAGTCTTACATCTTTCTTCCCAATTTGTATGCCTTTTATTTATTTTTCTCATAAAAAGTCTGGGCTTAGGCCAGGGCTCTGCATATGCCATTGAAGAGAAGTGGGGAGAGTATTCACCACTGCACTGCTCCTTAAGAGGAAAGATTTAACCTTTCTCATTAAATTGATATTAGCTATAAGCTTTTCATAGATATTCTTTGTCAGGTTTGAAGAGTTTCCCTATTTCTGATTTCTAATAGTTTTTATGATAAACAGCTATTGGATTTTGACAAATGCTTTTTCTATAGATGTAGAGAAATCTGAGATGATCATATGTTTTTTAAAAATCATTATAGGCCTGGCACTGTGGCCCACATCTTTAAATCCCAGCACTTTGGGAGGCTGAGGTGGGTGGATCACTTGAGGTAAGGAGTTCAAGACCAGCCTGGCCAACATGGTGAAACCCCATCTCTACTAAAAATACAAAAATTAGCCAGGGGTGGTGGCAGGCACCTGTAATCTCAGCTACTCGGGAGGCTGAGGCAGGAGAATTGCTTGAATCAGGGAAGCAGAGGTTGCAGTGAGCCGAGATCACGCCACTCTACCTCAGCCTGGGAAACAGAGTGAGACTCTGTCTTAAAAAAATTTATATTAATATGGTGAATTGTATTATTTGGTTTTTAATATTAAATGAGTCTAGCATTTCTGGGATCTATCCCATTTGATCATGATGAATTTTAAAAAATACATTGCTGAATTTGATTTTGTTAAGGACTTTTAACTGTAGGCTTGTGAGTGATATTGGCATACAGGTCTCTTTCCTTTTAAAATCTGTCTGTTTTGGCTGGGCATGCTGGCTTATGCTTGTAATCCCAGCACTTTGGGAGGCCAAGGCGGGTGGATCACTTGAGCCCAGGAGTTCAAGACCAGCCTGGAGTTTAAGACCAGCCTGATGAACATGGTGAAACCCTGTCTCTACAAACAAGTGATAACAAAAAAAAATTAGCTGGGCATGGTGGTTTCGTGCCTAGAGTCCCAGCTACTGGGGAGGCTGAGGTGGAAGGATCGTTTGCGCCTGGGAGGTTGAGGCTGCAGTGAGCTGTCATCATGCCACTGCACTCCAGCCTGAGTGACAGAGTGAGACCCTGTCTCAAAAAAAAAAAAAAAAAAAAACCCAAAAAGACAACTGTCTGTTTTGAAGACTAGTATATTGGCATCAAAAAATGAGTTGGAAATTTTTCTATTTTCTGACAGCTTTCGTGAAGATCGGCATTATTACTTCCTCAATATTTGATAGAATTCATCCAGGAGCCATCTGGGCCTGGAGTTTCCATTTTGGAAGGTTTTGGTAATAATTTTAATTTCTTTTAGTCTATAGCTATATTCAGACTTTCTATTATTTCCCTTATCCAATTTGGTAATTTGTGTCTTTTAATGAATTTTTCCATTTCTTCTAAGTTGTCAATTTTGAGGTCTTTATAATATAATATTTCCTTATGATCCTTTTAACATCTGTAAGATCTGTAGTGCTGTGCTCCAGTTTAGTCCTCATATTGGTAATTTGTGTTTTTTCTTTTTTCTTATCTTGATCAATCTATCTAGATACTTATTAATTTTATTGACATTTTCAATAAACCAGCTTTGATTTAATTGGTTTTCTCCATTTTTTTGGTCAGTTTCCTTGATATCCACTCTTTTCTTTTTTAATTTCCATCTTTCTACTTAGCTTTTGATTTACTTTTACTTTCTCTAGCTTCTTAAGTAGAAACCTATATCCTTGATTTTAGACTTTTCTCCTTTTTTAATACAAGCACATAAGGCTGTGTGTTTTTCTCCAAACACTGTTTTAGGTATACCTTTTATTTTGACATTAAAAATATTACTTTCTTTCAGTAAAAAATATTTTTAAATTTTCTTTTGATTTCTTTGACTGAAATATTATTTAGAAGTGCATTGCTTGATTTCAGAATATTTGGATGTCTTCAAAATGTTGACTTTTAGATGAATAATTATTGACTTTTTGATTAACTCTAATGCCTATGTGTTCTAACAGTTACTGAAAGGGGGTTGAAATCGCCATTATAAGTATTATAATTGTGGATTAATCCATTTCTCTTTTCAGTTCTGTCCGTTTTTAATTCATGGATGTTGAGAATTTCGCATTTGGTGAATATTCATTTCAGATGCTGTCTTCTTGACGAGTTGACTTCTTTATCTTTCTTCTTTATTCCTTATGATATTGTTTGTCCTGGGTCCACTTTGCCTGACATTAAAGTTGCACCTCCAACTTTCTTATAATTTCTATTTGCTTGGCATATCTTTTTTTTTTTTTTTTTTGAGACAGAGTCTCACTCTGTCACCCAGGCTGGAGTGCAGTGGCGCAATCTCTGCTGACTGCAACCTCTGCCTCCCTGGAACCTCCCAAGTAGCTTGGATTACAGGAATGTGCCACCATGCCTGTATGCCATGCCACCATGCTAATTTTTGTAATTTTAGTAGAGACGGGGCTTCACCATGCTGGCCAAGCTGGTCTCGAACTCCTGACCTCACCACTTCCTTCACCACCACACCCAGCATGGGCCACACACACGTAAATCCATGCCTTCCTCCTAGATGCCTGCCTTGGCCTTCCAAAGTGCTGGGATTACAGGCATGAGCCACTGTGCCCGGCCTGAACAGACAGTGGTAACTGCAATTACCTGCCTGTCTACCGTGCTATCCATTGGTTTCAAATCATCAGAAAGAAAAGTTGGAGAGATTACAGCTGCAAATCCTAAATTCAGGATACTTACAGAAGCAGAGGCTGACGCTCACCTTGTCATTCTAGCAGAAACTAAACATTGTCACTGGTTTATACATCTGTGATGCCACCAGCCTGCGTATTTGGTAACAGTGAAGCCGCATTATGATTCAAAAGAGATCCTCTCCCACTTCACCCACCACTCAAGTGGTTAGGACTGTGTATCAGTAAGAACTATGCTTTTTGGGGAAAAAAAGAAAGTTAATCTTCATTTTGGCGTATGAAGAGGTGAGGCCTTCTCCACCACCATGAGCAGGTTAGCGCCTTATAAAAGGGCGGGGGGAGCCTGCGTGTGCCTTTTGCTTTTCTGCTGCCATCTGAGGACGTGGCACTTGTCCCTTTTCCCCTTTTCATTCTTCCCACCGTGTGAGGACCCCCAGGCAGCACCTTCCATGAGAAATGGGCCTTTGCCCATTCACTGAACTTGCAGGGGCCTTGATGTTGGACTTCCCAGCCTCCAGAGCTGTGAGAAAATAAAGTTTTGTTATTGATAAATTACCCAGTCTCAGGTATTTTGTTATAGCAACACAAGCAGACTAAGAAAATTCCTCTCCTTCTATTCATGAACTTACAAAAATCATGTTCACAAGTGGGCAGAGCTGTGGCCAGAGCCCAGGACTTCTCACTCTGACTCCAGGGCTCTCTTCACGTCACTGCTTGCCTTTTGTTGGCTGGAGCGCTGTGATCTCAGCTGCTCGGGGGTCCAGGGGCTCATGGAGAGTTTGGCTCCTGCCCCTCCTCTGTGGGTTCCTCCACGCACTTGTCCTCTTGTCCTCTCTTGACTCTGCAGGGCTTCACCACCACCTAGCGTGAGCCACACCCACGGAAATCCATGCCTTCCTCCCAGGTGCCAGGTTCTCAGGGTCTCTCGTTAACGAGAGACCCTGCAGAGGCGTGCAAGCCCACCCAGGGAGCAGATGCCCATGTTATCAGTGCCTTCGGTCCCGAGAGGGGTTCACACTGAGGATGAAGGCGTTCAGGCCTGTGGCAGGGAAGGTATTTGGGGCAGTTGCTCTTTCATGGAATCGCAGAGCAGGTTCACCTGCACAGCCCTGGCACCTTCTTGCTTCCAAATCCACAGCGCCTTAGCGAAATACAAGCTCATCCAGTCCTCAAAGAGTGTTAACTTTCCACCAACAGGTGTACTTTTAAAAAAGAAGGGTGCCGCCAACCTAAAAAGACACGGCCCACAATGAGCCATCTGAAAGATGACTGGAGGCTCTGCTTTTAAAGAAGTTGTCAATCAGTCGATCAGCAAGCCAGCCTTCTGTTGCAGACGAAGAAATGCAGGAGCTTCTGGACATGCTGAGAGCGCACATGAGTGGCCAAGAGAAAGGCGGGCTTTGGAGGGGTCCTTGCTAACTCCTTCAGGCACTAATTTCTTTTTTTCTTTTTCTTTTCTTTTTTTTTTTTTGAGACTGAGTTTCACTCTGTTGCCCAGGCTGGAGTGCAGTGGCGCGATCTCGGCGCACTGCAACCTCTGCCTGCTGGGTTCAAGTGATTCTCGTGCCTCAGCCTCCCAAGAAGCTGGGATTGCAAGTGTGCATCATCACACCCGGCTAATTTTTGTATTTTTTAAGTAGTAAGTTAAACATGGGGTTTCACCATGTTGGCCAGGCTGGTCTTGAACTCCTCACCTCAAGTGATCCACCAGCCTCAGCCTCCCAAAGTGCTGGAATTATAGGCATGAACCACCGTGCCTGGCCTTTTGGGCATTAATTCTTGAAGCCACTGAATTAATCGTTGGCACATTTATTCAATTTAATCCGGCATTTCTGATGCTTGAACTTTACCATGTACCAAATGGTTACCCTTTTCCCTCCATGTAGTCGGGGAAGCAGTCTGTGAATTTTCCAATCATTCATTTGTTCCTTTATTACACACTCAGACAACAATTATTGAACACCTTTTCTGGGCCATGCCCCCTCTCGGGTCCTGCAGAGGTGCCAGTGAGAAGGACGTGCAGGGCCCTGCCCGCTGGGCTGGCCTATGACCTGTGTGACCCTCTTGCCCCTGCCACCTTTCCCAGGGTGCCGTGCTCCGCCAGCCTCCACGGCTCCCTGCAGGCCAAGCGCCTCTGGCCGCCCCCTCAGCTCGGCCCTGGGGGTAAGCGCTGCCATCTGGTCTCTATTATTTGGGGCCTCAGCGTCCCATGGATGCTAGCAAGCTTGGCTCTGCGGCCCCTACCTCTGCGGCCTACAGAAAGTGCCATCGCTGAGGGTCTGAGGGGAGCCCCCCACACCAGTGCGTCTGTGATGGCCTCGGAGAGGCTGTGTGCTCCGAGCCACCATGTGCTGCATCACCCTCTGGTTGACTTTCTGGATTCATTTGTTTCTCACGAGGTACAATTCTGAAAATGCTTCACGTGAATTCCAGGGTCGAACAGATCAGTAAGGAGACGGTGGGTGGCATGAAGCAGGTTTCTCCTGACTGGAGAGGAAGCGTTAGACACACAGGGAAGGAAGGCGAGAATGAGCCCTGTGGTACCGACTTAGAGTTGGAGTTGTCACTGCGAAGGCACGTTCAGCACTCCCCCCACCCCCACAATGCACACACACCCAGTCACACATGCATATACATGTGTGTGCATACACACACACCCAGGCACACATGCACACACACGCACATGCACACACCCAGACACACATGCACACACACGCACATGCACACACACACAGGCACACAGGCACACAAGCACACACATGGACTTGCACACACATGCACACACACCCAGGCACACATGCTCACACACGAGTGCACACACACAGGCACACATGCACACACATGCGTGTGCACACACACCCAGGCACGCACACACGCACACGCACACACGCGCACACACCCAGACACACATGCGCACACACACACGCACACACACACGGGCACACATGCACACATGCACACACATGGACTGGCACACACACGTACACACAGGCACACATGCACACAGGCACACACATGAACTTGCACACACATGCACACACATTCAGGCACACATGCTCACACAGGCGTGCACACACACCCAGGCACACATGCACACACATGCACACACGTGTGCACATGCACACATGCATGCACACACACCCAGGGACATGCACAGACACACACACCCAGGCACATGTGCATACACACACATGCACACAGACACACTCCCCCAGGCACATGCGCACACACCCACACACACCCAGGCACACATGCACACACACACAGGCACATGCACACACACGTACACACATGCACATGCACACACATGGACTTGCACACACATGCACACACACCCAGGCACACATGCTCACACAGGCGTGCACACACACACACCCAGGCACACATGCACACACCTAGGCACATGCACACATGCGTGCACACACACCCAGGCACACGTGCACACACACACCCAGGCACACGTGCATACACACACATGCACACAGACACACTCCCCCAGGCACATGCGCACACGCACACACACGCACACACACACGTGCACACACACATGCACGTGCACACACCCAGGCACACATGCACACACATGCACGTGCACACACCCAGGCACACATGCACACACATGCACACACACACACACATGCATGCATGCACACACACGCAGATGGGTCGATGGGCAGGAAGAAAATTATCCGCTGTTATTTAACTTGGTGGCTGTAGACGGAAAGGAGGAGGTTCAGACATGTGAAGACAACTGGACGCAGAGTCTGAATCTGTTACTCAGAGACTACAATGTCATTGGGGTCCCCGACTAGAGTGGGGCTTGCAGGGGGGCGGATGGCTCCTTCAGGGTGCAGTGTCTGTGCAGAATCAGGCGCTTGTATGTGCTGCATCCCATCAGGAAGAATTGATGGGTCCAGGAACCCAAGGCTGGGAGCGGAAATGCCCACTCCGGTCACTCCCAGCAGTCCTGGAAGAATGTGGTGCTTCCTGCCCTGCACCTCTGATCTCTGCGGGGTTGACGGTCTTGTCCTCCGAGTCCCCTTAGACCCGGTGTCCTTAGACCCGGTGTTCTATCTGCTGCCAGGGCACTTTGGACTCCTTATGTCCCAGGACCAGCAGGTAAGAAGGGAAGTCACCGTCTTGGCAGGAGGCATTGGCCGGGGGCACGTGTGTGAAACCCAGGCGTCTCGCCTGGTGCCCCGTGCCCCCTTGTACTGGCCACAGGGCTTGAGCCATGCCCCAGGGGAGCCATTGAGACTTGCCCGGGTGATAGCTGCTGCGGGTGGGGGGATTCGGAATGGAGGGAGGGACGTGCATCAGTTGTGGCCCCGAGACCCCTGGCAGGGAGGAGAGGCCGGTGAGAGCCTCGAAGTGGCTCTGGCCAATGCCCAGGGGAGCGAGTGAGACAGCGGGGAGTGCGGTACGCAGGGAGTGGAATGATGGGCAGCTCCCAGCTCCTCCACCTCAGTGGGCCTGGCCGCGTGCTCCCAGCTCCGTTCCTGGGACACACGGGACCCCTTGCAGTGCTGAGCTGAGCTCGAGAACACTGTTGGCCTGTCTGAGCTCCCCCACCTGAGCTGGAGTCCCAGGCCCCACTCCCACCGAACTCTCTGCTTCCCCGGCTCCCTTCCTCTTCCTCCCCAGACGCTCCGCATCCAGGCCCATCCGGCCTCTGCTTCTGGAAGGGCCTGAGCTAGCACCTCTTGTCTTTTTTCTTCTGAGGGGCAGTATTTAAAAAATGAATTCCAGTGATTTTCTTCATTCAGTGTTTTTGAGGGAGGTCTCTGTCTAAGTGCCTCATTTTTAGGGTGATGCTGGAACTGAGAGGGGCCTGTCTGGGACTGAAGGACGTTCCCAGCCGAGCTCCTTTTCAGCCAGATGAAGGGAAAGACTGACCCCGAGTTTGTGTCGGGTTACGCTCCAGCCTGCGGCGGCGAGGCCACATGGGTTACAATCCAGCATGCAGGGCGGGAGCTGAGAGCCTGCACAGGAGCGGAGACTCTGTGGCTGGACATTCTGGAGCCCCCAGCTGCGGCCGTGGCCCCAGCGACCCACCTCCACAGAGACAGGGGCGTCGGGGTCTATGGCCCAACAGTCCCCTCCCTCTGGCCCTGTGTCCTGGGCCTGGGTCTCTTGCAGGAGGGAGCCTTGCAGACAGCCCCCAGCTGCTCCTGCTGGCTTCTCACTTCCACGAAGGCAGGGCAGCTTCTGGGCGGCAGCTCAGCCTTCCCTCTGGCTCCCAGCCCGCACGCATTTTTAAAGAGGGTGGGGAATTGCTAGCCTAGATACGTTTCTAAAGGGCTCCTGGATGGGAGAGTTAGAAGTTGCTTTTCAAATGATTATTTTGCTTGAAATTCTCTCCCCTAACCTTCCTATAAGCTGTGAAGCACTGTCTATTATCTGTGTCTACACCCTCATCTAACGTATGGCTGGTGCTCCCTAAGATAAGGTTGCTTAGAGAACAACGGGATAGCTTGAGTCCGCCGTCCTTCCCTCCAGCAGAGACCCAGAGTGGCTGAACCGTGGCCAGCGTCGGTGCAGCCACGTAGCTGGGAGCAACGGCTGTGCTTGCAAAGCCTGGTGGACACCTGGAGATTTTCATAATTGTTTCATATTTTTGTTTCCTTTGGGTGTGAGAATAAGGATGTAAATACTAAATTGTGTTTGCTGAGAGGCCAAAGCAACAGATATTCTCCTGCAGAACGCCACGGAGGGTGGTGGCTTTCCATGCACACCCGTGAGCCACGCGCTGTGGCCTGCACTGTGCACCGACTTGTCTCTGCATCGCCTTGTCGGAGAGCAGGGCTCACACCAGGCCTCCTTCCCCCGGCCCCCAACACAGCGCTTTGCTCTCAGTACGTGCTGAACAACCATTTGGTGAATTAATGAAGGGCAGGGAACTTGGCTGATAACGCTGTATGTGTTAGGAAATTTGTGTTGTCACAGTATATATTTGGGATTCAAAACCGGGTAGAAACATGGAATTCTTTGTTTAGAACAAAAATAGAACAAGTCAGCAGGAAAGGAATTGGAGAAGCAGCCGCCCTGGGTCCCGGGGGCCTCCGGCCGCACAGGCGCTGCTGTTCTCAGGGGCTGCAAGGCGGGAAGGTCAGGCAGGAGGCGGTCCAGGAATGAGGGTTCCCCGTTCTGGCTCTGCCACCCATTCACTGTGCGGCCTTCTCTTTGCTCCTGGAGTCCTAATTTTGCAACGAGAAGGCTGGAATAAAGGCTCCTGCCTTTCCAGCAACACATTCTGTGACTTCTAGAGACAGGGGTCTTCAGCCTGGTGCGGAAGCAGGGCTGTTTCCTGTTTGTTTCATTTTCTGCTAGAAAGGTCTGGGGAGAAACCTCTTCTGCGGGTGGAGGCAGCAGCCCCGGTTCCTTCTCCCCGGGGCCCTGGAAGAGGCGTTTCCCACCCAGCTCTGTGGCAGGGCTGGGGTGTGGCCTGAGCGGGACAGGAGGGGTTAACAGAGAGTGAGCTTGGCGCCTGGACCTCTGGAGTCCAAGCCCTAGGTGTCTGCTGGAAAAATGTAGCAGGGAGCCAGGTGACACAGCTGTGTGTGTTTGTTTTTGAGGTTACCAGAGAAACGAGAGGGAAAGTAAAAAAAATAAAGTTTCCACAAAAATCCAAACTGACTTCCAAAGTATCTGAGAGCATGGAAGAGACACAGTCGGCCACGCCCCAGTCCCAGCGCGCTCTGTTTTGCTGGTGGCCCCTCCGGCCCCCGCCCGGTGTCCACAGGAAGGAGGAGAGGAGCTGGCTTTTCCATGGGGAAAGGGGCCAGGAGTGGTGGCTCCGCATGGAGTAACGGCCAGGGCCAGTGACACATTGTGCGGACTGTTAGCTCTGAAACACCACCAGCCGCAGGGAGACACCGGCTGCATTCTAGGTGGTTATGAGTGGGAGGGAAGGTCCCATCAGCACACTGAGCATCAGCAATCGGGCGGAAAGGTGGAGGCTGTGAACTTAAGGAAAAGGCCCACAGCCAGATGCAACCTCCAGTTCATCCCGCAGCGCCCACGTCGAGGGTGGAGGAGCTGCAGGCACTGCCAGCGCACTCCCAAGCAGTGGGGTGAGGCCGTCTCCCCTCAACCAGGCCCGGAGGAAGGGGCGCCGCACACAGGGCCAGGCAAGCATGACACAGGCGGGACTCGGCCCTGCTGCTGGCCGGTCACCTGGGCAGTCCCTGGCTCTTGCCTCCCTGTAAAGCAGCTGGGTGGCCCCTCTGGGCCTTGGCGTGTTTATTCCATCTCTCAAGCACCCCCCAGTGCCATCCTCCATGCCTCCCAGGGGAGCAGAGCACTCTCAGATGACAGGCGTCAGGTGCCCACCACGAGAGACCCGAACAGCCTCTCTCCCCCTCCCTCCCTCCCTCCATCCCTCCATCCCTTCCTTCCTTCCTTCTTCCCTCCTCCCTCCCTCCCTTCCTCTCTTCCTCCTTTCCTTCCGTCCTCCCTCCCTTCCTCACTTCCTTCCTTCCTAATTGAGATAAAATTCAGGATCCATTATTTTAACCTTTTTAAAAGTGTACAGTTCAGCCGCATTTAGTACTTTCACAGTGCTGTGCAACCCCCACCTCGGTCCAGTTCCAGAACATTTCATTTCCCCAAGAGGAAACCTCGCCCTCGTGAAGTAGATGCCCCCCTGCCCGTTCCTCAGTCCTCCAGCCCCTGGCACCTCCCAGCCTGCCTTCTGTCTCTGTGGATCTGCCTATGCTGACCAAGTCGTATAAATGAATCCTACAACAGGAGCCGTTTGTGTCTGGATTCCTTCGCTCAGCAGAACTCGTCTCGGGCTCATCCACGTTGTAGCACGCGTCAGGACTTCGTCCTTTTTCACGTCTGAATGATACTCCGTTGCATGGATAGACACGTTTTCTTTATCCATTCATCCACTGGGGACACGTGGATTGCTTCCACCTTTTAGCTATTGTGAAAACGCTGCTGTGGCCCCCCTTTCTCTCGAGTCCGATGAAATCAGCGTGAGTAGAGGCAGCGGAGATGGCAGGCGTGACTACTGCACAGGCACTGATCCTGGACGGGCTCCGGGCAGGGCTGGCAGGACCCTCAGCATCCCCTGCAGTTTCCACAACCAGCGAGTGGAACCCACACCCCAGATGCTGCTGGGCTTTACGGGGCCCCTGGTGCCAGGTCCCTGTGACTTCTGAAGGGCAGGGCTCCCTCCCGGTGGGTGCAGGTGACTTGGACAGGCACTGAACTTCTGGCCTCTCTGGGTGGGGAGGATCTGGCTTCCCCTTCAGGTGACAGGTCCAGGCTGCCTAGCCTCTTGTTGGGCATATTTGGGGTCAGAGGACCTCTGTGGGGCTGTGGGCACATGCGGGCTCCCAGGGTGGGTTATGGGTGCTGTTAAATTAAGTTTGGCCTGAAGCTGCCCCCATATGTAGTGAACTGCAACCTACCTCAGGATGTAAACAAGCTGCAACCTAACTAAGCATGTTCAAGTGATCCCTGACACTGGTTTATGATTTTTTTTTGTTTTTCAATGGGTTTATTGGGGCATTAAATGCATTTTTTGACTCATGATTTTTTCTACTTATGATGCATTTATTGGGCCATAACCTTACTGTAAGTTGAGGGGCTTCTGGTATTCTTTTAACAAGTATCCGAGTTTCAGTCAATCACAGCAGCCAAGCTTCAGCCAATCACAGGCTGCCAACAGATCAGACCACACCCATATGAGGCAGACGTCCAGCTGTAGCCAATCAGGCTGTTTCTGTGTCTCACTTCCGGGTTCTGTCTATAAGTGCTGCCTGCCCATGTTTCTGGGTGGAACTTGCTGAACCTCTGGAGGTTCTGGGTGCTGCCTGATTCGTGAATTGTTGTTTGCTCAAGTAAACTGCTAAATTTAATTTGTCTAAAGATTTTTTTAAACAGTGCTTGAGATCTGCAGTTTAGTAGGTGGGAATGGGCCAGGGTCCTTCTTTTCCTGAGTTTCAGGCCAGACCCCTGGCCACACTGCTCTGTAGACCGGTAGCTGGATGACCCATGGTGCATGGTGGAGGCAGACTTGCCTGTGTCAGGGTTTGTTGCTGGGGCTTACTATAGCCCATAACTGATGAGGAGTGAGGCAGCCATGGAAGACACAGCAAATAAGAAAACCCTGAGAAAGGCAGTGTCCACCAGGGCTAGACACCTGTGGTCATGCAGCCTGTCTGTCCAACCTGCCCTGTGCAGAATAAGCCGGTGTCCACCAGGGCTAGACACCAGTGGTCATGCAGCCTGTCTGTCCCACCTGCCCTGTGTGGAATAAGCCAGAGTCCACCAGGGCTAGACACTGGTGGTCATGCAGCCTCTCTGTCCAACCTGCCCTGTGCAGAATAAGCCAGAAAACAGCCTGAGGAAGGTTCCTAGTGAAGTCTCCAGGGTCTTAAGGGTTGAGCCTTAAAGAGTTAGATCCTTTATCCCAAGATTTAGAACAATTCCAAGTGCTTGTGTGTTCCTCTGTGTTCTTCTCACAACTTAATGAGAAACAAATATCACAAACAAACCAACGAGTGATTCATATGACCAAAATGTTGGCTCCACTTAGCTGTCTTTTCTTCAAATGTGCATTTTCTTCTTTTGTAGACAGTGCTCGAAGGGGATGGGTGAAGAGGAAACTGAGGAAGGACAACAGGGGATGGTGCTCCGCTGCCTTCAGCAGAGCTTGGCACAGCTTGACCACATAAATGTTTCTGGCCAGATGAGAGGCACTTGCACTTCTCAGCTTCCCACAGAGCTGAACATTTGATTTCACCCTTTAATGCACCTTTCTGGAAACCCAGAACTTGAGTCTGTGCTGTATACAGGGAAGCAACCACTATTGCTGGGAGTTAGAGAAATTTCTGTCTGGTTTGTAGAAAATCTAAGAATGGCTTACAACGGCCAAAATAGAGGTCACACATGGGGCCTAACATGGTATGGGAAGGGGAAAAGTGGGGTGGAGATGAGACGTCTCCACCAAGGAAGCGTCTACACTGACAGCAGTTGGACGGCTTAAGGCAGAGGGTGACCCAAACTCAGCTCTGAGATGGAGCCTGGGGCTCTGGGATTATGATGGCACCAGGACAGATCCAAGTCAGGAAGGAGGAAAGTGTTTCCTGGTGGGTTCTTCCTCCCCCTGCACAGACAAAACCAATTCACCGAGACCATGGCTTTGCAATAAAGAGCTTAATTAACATGGGGCTGGCCATGCCACATGGGAGACAGAGTCACTACTTAAATCAATCTCCCTGAAAATTTAGAGGCCAGGGATTTTCAACAATAGTTTGGTGAGCAGGGGTCTAGGGAATGGGTGCTGTTGATTGGCTGGGGAGGCAGTCTTACGGATGGAAAAGGGTCCTTGTGCACTGAGTCCACTTCTGGGTGGGGGCTGCAGTAGCAGTTGAGCCCAGAGTCACGGGTCAGAGTGGGGCAGTCATCAGAAATGCAGAAGCCTGTAAAGACTTCCCAAAAGGCCAATCTCAGGTTCTACAATAGTGATGTGATCTGTGGGAGTAAGTGGAGACGTTGCAAATCTTGTGACCTCTGGCATAATGGCTGGTCATCGTTTTTGCCTACATCTTAGCAAAATTCAGGTGCCTCTCGTCCTCCTAACCTGGTGGTCTTTCGTTAGGTTTACAAAGGTGGTTTAGTTTTGGGAAAGGGGTATTATCATTTAAACTATAAACCAAATTCCTCCCAAGTTAGCTTGCCAAGCCCAGGAATGACCAAAGGCAGTTTGGAGGTTAAAAGTAAGATGGGGCTGGTTAGATAAGATCTCTTTCACTGTATACTTTCCCCACTATTATAATTTTTGCAGAGGTGGTTTCAGAAAGGGTTGGCATAAAGGTCAGAGCATGAAGAGATGCTCTCTCCCTGGAGCACCTGAGTTCAGGAGTCGGCGACACAGCCAGTGCTGGAGTTTCCCTGTCAAAGGGACCCTTTCCATTCCCCAAGGACGGAGCATGAGGTCCCTGCCTCTCATTTCTCTTATGTTTTTCCCCATGTCTGAAATGTGCCCCAACCATCGCCATCTGTTTCCAACTCAACCATCTTTCGAGAGCTGGAAAGGACTCTTGCATGATAACTGTTTCCAATACCATCCAAATTTATGCGGCCTCTTGCCTACTTTGACATAATGAACAGGGTCTGGCAAACAGATTCAGAAAAGCTTACTAAACGTTTATTTCAAATCGATTTCCGTTGCGTTGACTTCCTTAAGTGTTCCCACTGGGATGGGCCACCTCATCCTTCTTGAGTCAGAAGTAGAGACTTTCCACTGGAAATCCCCAGAGGACCCAGGCAGCCGAGGGAGGTGGGGGCTAAGCCTCTCCAGCATGACTCACTGTGGTCACCCTGTGACCTACTTCCACTGTGAGTTTTGGCTGAATGGATTCTCATGATCCTTGTTTCACCACAGTCACCCCTCACTGGAAAAGCAAGGCTAAAGGAAGCCAGTCAGAGCTGAACGCCAAGCTGCAGAACGACGCTTCGGAGGGGGGACAAGAGGAACTGGGGGAAGGGACGGCCCCTCCATACTGTGGCATGACCGGGGCTGCATTTCTTCTCCAAACCACAATCCTTCCCTAGCTGTAGAACTGAAGGTCCCATGATGAATGGGGACTGAGAGCCAGGGTGGGGAAGGGTGGCCTGCCCAGGGCCACCAAGGCTGTGGGTTGGGAGTGGGTCCACAGCCCTCCTCCATCAGAGCCCTGTGACCGGTACATCAGGAAAAGTGAGGTGTGGGCTCTCTCAGAAGAACTTCTAAAAATGAGTTCTTCAACATGACTTACTAACTTTTTAATAAATACCTTCATCCATGCAACCCTTTAACCTTTAGAAAGTTCTGGATGTGGCTGCTTTGGCGGCCTCTGTGACTGTTTCACCCTGGTGTGTGATATCTCCTTGTGCTTGCTGAAGGCAGATGGGGCTGTGTAGATGACCTGTCCACACAGACACTGAGGGATGGACTCAGGGGAACATCCACATCCACACGACCTGTCCACAGAGAGACTGAGGGACGGGCTCAGGCAAACATCCATGACCACATGACCTGTCCACACAGACACTGAGGGACGGGCTCAGGCAAACATCCACGTCCACATGACCTGTCCACAGAGAGACTGAGGGATGGACTCAGGCAAATGTCCACGTCCACACGACCTGTCCACACAGACACTGAGGGACGGGCTCAGGCAAACATCCACGTCCACATGACCTGTCCACACAGACACTGAGGGACGGACTCAGGCAAATGTCCACGTCCACACGACCTGTCCACAGAGTGACTGAGGGACGGACTCAGGCGAACATCCATGACCACACGACCTGTCCACACAGACACTGAGGGACGGGCTCAGGGGAACATCCACGTCCAGAAGACCTGTCCACAGAGACACTGAGGGACGGGCTCAGGCAAACATCCACGTCCACATGACCTGTCCACACAGACACTGAGGGACGGGCTCAGGGGAACATCCACGTCCACACGACCTGTCCACAGAGAGACTGAGGGACGGGCTCAGGCAAACATCCACGTCCACATGACCTGTCCACACAGACACTGAGGGACGCACTCAGGCAAACATCCATGACCACACGACCTGTCCACAGAGACACTGAGGGACGGACTCAGGCAAATGTCCACATCCACATGACCTGTCCACAGAGACACTGAGGGACGGACTCAGGCAAATGTCCATGTCCACACTACCTGTCCACAGAGACACTGAGGGACGGGCTCAGGCAAACATCCATGACCACACGACCTGTCCACACAGACACTGAGGGACGCACTCAGGCAAACGTCCACGTCCACACGACCTGTCCACACACACACACTGAGGGACGGACTCAGGCGAGCTTCCATGTCCACACCACCTGTCCATACAGACACTGAGCAATGGGCTCAGGTGGGCATCCATGTCTACACAGCCTATCGACAAAGCCACTAAAGAATAGGGCTCGGGGAAGTGTTTATGTCCTGGTGTCCTTACTTGTAACCTTGGGTTATTTAAAACTTGGATATGGGCAAGTGGGAAAGAGATGGGGCCATTCAGCATCACACTGGGGTATGGTATGCCAGCTTCTTGTCGTGTTAGTGCTGTGGACCTGTGAACCTGTGGACCTGTGGACCTGTGGACTGGCAGACCTGTGAGCCTGTGAATGTGTGGTCCTATGGACCTGTGGGTGTCTGAACCTGTGGACCACTTTACCTGTGGACCTATGAACTCATGTATGTGTGAACCTGTGGACCTCTGGATCTGTGTACCTGTGAACCTTTGTACTGTAGATGTGTGAACCCATGGACCCGTGGACTGCGTGTGAACCCGTGTACTGCTGGACCTGTGGACATGTGGACCTGTGAGTGTGTGGACCTGTGGATGTGTGGACCTGTGGACCTGTGAGTGTGTGGAACTGTGGACCTGTGGACTGTGGACGTGTGGACCCGTGGACCTGTGAGTGTGTGGACATGTGGACCATGGACGTGTGGACCTGTGAGTGTGTGGACCTGTGGACGTGTGGACCTGTGAATCTGTGACTGTGTGGGCCTGTGGGGTGTTGGGCCTGTGAACCTGAGAGTTTGTGTACCTGAGAGTGTGTGGACCTGTGGATGTGTGAACCTGTGGACATGTGGACCTGTGGACTTGTGAGTGTGTGGACCTGTGGACGTGTGGACCTGTGGACCTGTGAGTGTGTGGACCTGTGAATCTGTGACCATGTGGGCCTGTGGGGTGTTGGACCTGTGGACGTGTGGACCTGTGAACCTGTGACTGTGTGGGCCTGTGGGGTGTTGGGCCTGTGAATCTGTGAGTGTGTGGACCTGTGGGTGTGTGGACGTGTGGACCTGTGAACCTGTGACTGTGTGGGCCTGTGGGGTGTTGGGCCTGTGAACCTGTGTGCTCATGTTTGGCATCATGGTTCATTCAGGGCTCCAGTTCTGTGAAGTTTCGTGTCTCTCTCTAGGAAAGGTGCACGGAAGCACCGCGCTGCTGGGCTCAGCTTCTCTGCTGTGTAGGGCGCAGGGTTTTGCCCCACAGCCTCCCCCCCCAGTGTCTCTCCTGAGGCCTCACTGTCCCTGCTCCTCCGACCCCTCCCGCACCAGCCCTGCCGTCTCCCTGCTGAAGAGAGGCTCAGCTGTGTCTTTACCCTGCATTTGGAGAGAGGCATGTTTTTAACTTTTCAGACATTTTACTTTGACACTGAGGATGCACAAGACGTGCAGCCTCTGTGGGGAGCCGATCGGGAACACGGCGAGGCCACATCACCCGCGCGGGGGACAGGAGCCGCGGGACCCACCTGCAGGGAGCTGAGCCCCAGCACCTTCGTTTGGACGTCTCCCCAGCACGGTGCTACCTGCCCAGGCTGTGAGCAGGGATCAGACCCCACTCCCTGGGTTTAACATGAAAGCCCAGCTGTACGTTGGACGGCTTGGATCTTTCTAGGCAGGAGCACCCGATCTTTCCAGTCACAGAAGTCAGTTTCTTCAAGGGAGACGTGGAATAAAGCTGGAAGCCTTACCATCGATCCCACCACCCTCCCCGACCCCGCCCACTGGGCACCTGCGTGGTGGGGACTCACAGCCCCAGCCCCCTAGAGATTGTCGTGTGGGCGACGGAACTGAGGTGAAGGCAGAGTGCTTTCCTCTTTAATGTCACGTAAAGGGAGAAACTGTTATTTTGAAAAGTGGCTGCCGTTTCACTGACAGCCTGAAGAAGGGTGGGAGGTTTCCTGCGGGGGAAAGACCCCTGTCTGTGGTTGGGAATCCCCTCCCGGAGTTGTGGGTTGTGGAAGCTGAGGGTCTGTGCCTTCAGCCAGCTGGGAGAGTGACAGGAAGCCGCGGGCGCTGCCGCCGAAGCCACAGAAGTGCTGAGCGGTCGCTGGGGGGCTGTGGTCCTGGGAGAGACGCTGGGGGAGCCAGGCAGTTTCAGCTGCTGGGTGCGTGCACCGTGGTGGGCCCGAGGGCCAGGTGTGGGTTTAGGGTGTGTTGCCTTTGCCCACCAGCTGCAGACATCTAGGGCCACTACGGCCACCCCAGCCCCGACACAAGTGCACCCCCGGGTTGGGGAAGGGGCAGCACGGGGGCTGCCTACACCCCATCTGCCACCCGTCACGGGCAGGGAGGGTCCTGTGTGGTGAGACATGCAGGCCTTCAGGCCCAGACTTTAAACAAACAGAACCAGTGGACGACCACAGTGCCCATCAGGGTGGGCACCGCCCACCCCCCCACGCCCACGTCCCACACTTGGTGGAGGTTTGTGAAGGAGCCGGGCGGGAGCGCAGCAGCACAGAGACCCCCGGGCCGGGCGGGGAGCTTCCATCCAGCCTGCAGGCCCTGACCTCTGCTGCCCTTGAGAGAAACCCTGAGGCCGCCCGAGCGCTTGAGCTTTCCCATCTGTGCCAGCAAATCTGGAAGGCCACGTTCTCTCCATAAATGGAAACATTTTGAGGGGGCCACAGACCACTGCCAAGCGGCACGGCGATGACTAAGCCCCGCACGGAGGAGAGGGCGTTGCCTGGCCCGAGTTCCGGGACCGTGTGGGGCTGTCGGGGCGGGCGCCCAAGGCCTCTCTGAAGGTGGCAGCAGCAGCGGCGATTTACTCACCCCAGTTTCTCGGAGAGGCTTCTGGTAAAAGGCTGGATTTGGAGATTCTCTGTTGGTAAAAGGAAATCTCACGTGTGCCCTCCTCAAAGTTAGGACTGAGGGGCGCTGGCGAAGAGCGAAGGGAAGCTGCCTCCCTGGGGACTCGGATGCGCGCTTGCAGTCATCACAAGCAATTGAGTATCCACAGATTTGGTCAATTTAATAAAAAATAGGCCAGGGAGATAATGAGTGTTTTCTAAAATAGTTTTAAATCTATCGCTATGTGAACTCAGGTTTTTAGTTTGAAACCATCATTTTCTTTCTTTTTTGTTTGCTTTCCATTATGTCCCACTTTGCTCAGGGTTCTGTGGCCCCAGCTCAGGGCTGACATCATGACTGATGGTTGTGCACAAAAGAAACGGCAGACCAACGCGTCCTGTGCCAAAGCTGGAGGGGAAAGGCCAAGCCTTGCGGGAGGGACGCTCCTCGCTGCTGGTGGATGCCAGAAGTCTCTGGGCATCTCCAGACCTGTCAGGCGGTGGGAGGGGAGGCAGCGCATGTGGGTGGCTCTGCCCAGGGTCACCGAGGAGTCCCGGACATGAACCTTCCAGAGAATCAGCAGGCAGGGTCAGGGCCGGGCGCGCGCTCCCCTTGCAGAGAGGAGGCCCCCGGAGGCCGCTTGCGCTGAGCTGCGCGGCGAGCGGGTGCGGGATCCAGGCCCAGTCCTGTCTCACCCGCCTGTGGGCACACAGCTGCACCTGGCTTCCCAGCCTCTTCTCTCTTGAGCGGGACCCAGTGATGGGCACCACCTCCAGGCCTGACCCTCGGCCCAGCTCCCACCACGCCCAGCTGCTAATTTTTGTACTTTTTGTAGAGACGGTCTACACGGGAGTTTCACCATGTTGCCCAGGCCAGTCTTAAACTCTTGGGCTCAGGCAATCCACCCACCTCGACCTCCCAAAGTGCTGGGATTACAGGTGTGAGCCACCACGCCTGGCCTATTTTCTTAGATTTATCCCTAAGTAATACGTATTCCTGTCCCCACCCTAGGGGGCAGGGGGTTCAAGGAACAGCCCCAAGGTGCTAGGTGGGCAGAGCCCTCAGGGCCAAGGAGCCCGAATCCCTGGAGGACCACATGGAACAGAGAGCCCCTCCGGGTCCGGCAGGAGCCTGTGTGCGCTGAGACGTCTGCTACTTGTCCCGTCCCAGGGCCTCGCCTCCCAGCTCACCAGGTGCTCCTCCAGCGTCCCCGTGCGCTGCCTCCTGGCCTTCAGTGTGGCCGGCTTAGCACTGCCTGCTGGGGCTCTGGACACCAGGGAGGCTCTGAGGAGATGTCAGCCGGAGGTCTCCATGGCAGGACCGAGGTGTGATGGCTCATAAGCCCCCAAGGGAGGGTCCAGACCACTAAGCGGTTCTCAGCCCCTTCAGAAGTCACCCAGACTCACAAGGAAAGGCTGAGGGCTTGGGCTAGGCCACTCCACCCTGAACCTGCAGGATCCCTGTGCGGGGCAGAGGGAGGCAGGCGGTCTGCGTGGGGCAGAGGGAGGGAGGGGGCCTGTGTGAGGTGGAGGGAGGGAGGGGCTGTGCAGGGCAGAGGGAGGGAGGGGGCTGTGCAGGGCAGAGGGAGGCAGGGTCTATGCGGGGCAGAGGGAGGGAGGGGGGCTGTGCGGGGCAGAGGGAGGGAGGGGGGCTGTGCGGGGCAGAGGGAGGGAGGGGGGCTGTGCGGGGCAGAGGGAGGGAGGGTCTATGCGGGGCAGAGGGAGGGAGGGTGCTGTGCGGGGCAGAGGGAGGCAGAGGCTGTGCGGGGCAAGCCAGATTCCATTCAGAGGAGAGTGGCGAAAGGAATGTGTGTTTGGGCCAGATGCGGCCATGTGGGCCAGGAGCTGGGGATCCCTCTGAAGTCCTGCCAGAGGGGGCTGCAGGGAGGGCTCCAGCACAGACTGGGCCTGGGCACAGACTGACCGCAG
Organism: Homo sapiens; assembly: GCF_000001405.40. Lineage (NCBI taxonomy): Eukaryota > Metazoa > Chordata > Mammalia > Primates > Hominidae > Homo > Homo sapiens. Next base: position 46,054,646 of record NC_000021.9, on the reverse strand, counting down.
GGCTTGGAGGTCATGGGTCAGAGGGGTCAGAGGCCCAGTGGGCGGTGCTGATCCCTGGCCTGCTCCGTCAGGACCGTCTCTCTCTGCTCCGCTGTGTCAGGGTGGGGCTGACTGGCACACTGCATACCCGAGAGCCCATCGCATATTCTGGCAGTGAAAGTGAATAACTGGAAAATGAGAAATTTAAAAGGACTTATTGTAGCATCAAAGAAAGGCCTTACAATAGCATCAAAGAAAATGTATTACTTAGGGATAAATCTAAGAAAATAGGCCAGGCGCGGTGGCTCATGCCTATAATCTCAGCACGGTGGGAGGCTGAGGTGGGTGGATTGCTTGAGCCCAGGAGTTTAAGACCAGTCTGGATGAGGTGGAGAAACCCCAGTCTCTACAAAAAATACAAAATTAGCCGGGCGTGGTGGTGGGCGCCTGTAGTCCCAGCTACTGGGGAGGCTGAGGGGGGAGAATGGCTTGAGTCCAGGAGGTTGAGGCTGCAGTGAGTCAAGATCGCATCCCTGTACTCCAGCCTGGGCGACAGAGAGAAGCCCTGTCTCAAAAAAAGAAGAAAGAAAAAAAGAAAATACGACAAGATCAGTACATTGCGTACTAAAAATCATTGCTGAGAATTAAAGACCTAAAAAGTAGAGAAATATATTGTATTCACGAATTAGGAAACCCTACTTTTTAAGCTTAGAGTTTTTCCTCAAAACTCATTAAATCTTTGATATTTGGATTTAATGTGATGCCAATCAGTGTCTTTTTCATGGACATCAAAAAGCTGATTCTAATATGTATATGGTAATTCAAAAGGCTTTGAATAAAGTAATCTTAGAACAAAGTTGTATGTTTTAAACTACTTAATTTTAAGACTTACTATAAAGCTATAGTAAATAAGACCGTGGTATTGGTATAATACCAAATATATGCGTGCGTGTGTGTGTGTGTGTGTGTGTAGCCCAAGTAGTTAATTTAACGTGAATTAAAACCACGGTGACACACCAATACATACCCACTGGAACATCTCAAATTAAAAAGATACCAGACGTTGGGGGGTTGCAGGGCTGCCAGACGATGACACAGTGCTGGTGGGAGTTTAAGTGTCACAACCACTTGGCAGTTTCATAAAAGGCTGAGTTTGTCCTCACCTGGTGACTCAGGCATTCCACTCCCAAGGAGTTCCCTAAGACACACCAAACTCATTCCACACAACGACGTGTACAGGGATGTTCACAGCAGCTTTATTGGTGACAGCTAAAATGTGCCGACAGCCCCGTCCACCACCGAGGGAACCACCGCAGCAGGAGGGGTCTGTTGCCAGGACGGGCCCTGCCCAGCTGTGAGCGGCCAACAACTGCTCCGCAAAGCAGCAAGGAGGAATCGCGGAGGGACAGGGGCTGGGCACGGAGGCATCCAAGCACACAATTCCATTTCTGTGCAACTCCAGGAGCAGCCAGGGTGACGGCAGGGACTGAGAGGCAGGGCTGTGGGTGACGGGCAGTGACTGAGAGGCAGGGCTGTGGGTGACGGCAGGGACTGAGAGGCAGGGCTGTGGGTGACGGGCAGTGACTGAGAGGCAGGGCTGTGGGTGACGGGCAGTGACTGAGAGGCAGGGCTGTGGGTGACGGGCAGTGACTGAGAGGCAGGGCTGTGGGTGACGGCAGGGACTGAGAGGCAGGGCTGTGGGTGACGGGCAGTGACTGAGATGCAGGGCTGTGGGTGATGGGCAGTGACTGAGACGCAGGCTGTGGGTCGGGGCAGGGCTGTGGGTGACGGCAGTGACTCAGAGGCGGGCTGTGGGTGACGGGCACATTCCACAGCTCCACTGTGGCTGTGGTTCCACGGTGGGTGCACCTGCAAGAAGGCATCGAAGTCTAACCCTTACGATCTGCACTTTCTCTTATGTAAGTTACACCTTGACGCAACTGACTATGGAAATTAAAAAGCACCTGTGTTTGAACGCGAGAGGGTGGCCTTCTCCTCGTGGCTGCAGCGGCTGTGGAGAAACCAGGTGTGGCCAGTGTCTTAGTGCGGCTGCTGCAGCCACAAGGAGAACACAGACCTGGCGGCTTCAGCAGGAGACATTTATCCTCTCGCATCCGGAGGCTGGAAGGCCAAGGCCAAGGTGCTGCAGGGCTGGGCTTGGTGAGGCCTCTTCCCAGCTGGCAGGCGCCTGAGTACACCGGCGTCACTGGGGCCACAGCCGTAGCCGACCCGGGCTCCATCCTCCTGACATCATTTAACCATCATCACTTCCCAGAGGCCCAGTGTCCAGACACAGCTGCACTGGGGGCAAGGCCTTCAACCTGTGAACTGGGGAGAACACAAACGTTCAGTCCCCCGCATTGGGGTGTGAGTCTGAGGACGTCACAGGCACCACGGCCTTGCATCGTTTTCCAGGCACACAGACCATGTCTTTCCACAGGGCTGTGAGGATAAAGAGCGGGAGAAACCATAGAGACGGGAGGGAAGGGTTGGTGCCGGATGAGGGAAGGCGTGATGCCAGGCCAAGAAAACCCTAGGCGGTTCAGATCTTTGGAGAGGAAGGGCTGGCATTTTTATCTGGAAAAAGATGCTGAGAAAGCATTGGAAGCTTCTCACGCTGGGGCGCCAGGGGCTCTGTTCTCTGAGGCTCCTTCTTGTAGGACTCTGGACGCGGATGCCCCGTGCCGAGGGGCTGCCGAGCCTGGACGGTGACCGAGGGACCTGCTCCCCACACTGTGGTCTCACGATCCCACCCCACACCCACAGATCTTGGGAGACCGTGAAGAGCTTTGTTTGCACAAGTTATGTCTATCAACATTGATTATATCAGAAATTAAAACAGAAATCCAAAAATACTGATGTATCGATCCGTTTCACATTAACAAGGATAAACCCACTACATTTTCACATATTATGTTTTTAATTAAAACAATTAAATTATCGTTTCCCGAACGGAAGATCTGTGAGGAATATGCACTGTTTTTCCCTTTTCCAGTCTGTTCGGTGTCTGGCTTCACGGGAGACAGCTGGTTCTCGGAGCTGCTTCTGTGTTCAAGCCACTGCAATGGGGTTTTGGGCAAATCTGTGGAAAGTCTGGCCTCACCGCGCACTTGGAGGGAGGAGTGCCTCGGCAGTCCTCTCAGATAACTGTGGATAAGCTTCGATTCGATCCCCAAACACAACAAGTGGTCCTGTCTTAAAGGTCTGTTGGGACGTGAGATCTGAAACTGCATCGTGGGTTTTGTACTTGGAACATTCGTGAGAGCGAGAATGAGAAAGACGGATAATGTGTCAGTTTCATCATCAAAATAAGTTTGGCCTCACAGACCCCCCAGAGCATCTCAGGAACCTCTGCGGTCCCCAGACTGCATTTTGAGAACTGCCGTCCCAAGTTCTTGTGTCCCCTCCTCCCAGGCCAGCCAGCCCCGGGCGTGGGGGGTGCTCCAGGAGCCCACCGCGGTGTTTCAGTCTGGCCTGGAGTGGGGGCTACCGGTGAGGGATCTGCAGTATGGGGTCCTCCCCACGGGGTCCGCATGGCTCAGAGCAGCGCAGGGCTGGGCCAGCCTCTCGAGAACCCAGAGCCGGTCCAGGGCAGAGCCAGGAGCCGACTTGGGGCCTCGTCTGTGGGGGCCTCTCCCATCACAGCTGCCCAGGCCACCGTGCAGCCGCTGGGGACTGTCCAGCCTGGTGCTGGCAGGGTGGGGGCACAGGGCCAGACGCTTTGCTATGGGCTGACCACCAGTGACCACCGCAGCAAGTGGTCTGAAGTGGGCTGTGTGTGGAAATGGCTGTGCGCCCTGCAGAGGTCCCAGGTTCTCCACTCGCCCTCTAGTCCACACCAGACCCCTTGGGAGCTGCAGCAGCCACCCCACCTCGCAGCCTGCATGGCTCCCTGCCCAGCTCTGGATGGGGGACTGCAGGCCCTGGCCCCCTTCACTGTGCCTGGCGGCCCCTGCCCTGCTGTGCCTTGGCTGGGAAGAGCTTGTGCTTGTGGAGCAAAGTGGGGAGCGGTGTCTGCCTTCAACTGAGCATCGCCTGACCCCGGTCCATCTTATTTCCAAGCCTCAGGGGGTCTGATTCCAGAGCCGATGGGACCAGCCCAGTTCCGCACAAGCAGCTGTCGGCCTCGCCGTCCCCGTGCCACCTTGGAGGGCTGACAGTGTGTGTGACAGGGCTAGGCCCCTCTTTCCAGACCCCAGTGTCACCAGCCTGGCTCCCTGGGACAACGTGACGCCCCAATGAGAGAGGATGCCAAGGGCTGCCAGGGTGCGGCCAATGCTCCTGGCTTGTGGGTGACCTGGCCTCACTTCAGGGACCCAGCAGGGAAGCTGTCCACCAGCCGAGTTTGGAAAGCCTGCCCGGGATGGTCAGGGTGCCGTCCACTCGCCACTGTGCTCCGAGGACCCTCCCCAGAGAGCCCCGCTGTGGGCACAGTGAGTTCTGCGGTGGGCCCAGAGGATGGTTTCTCGATGGTGGGGGTCGCGGCGGCTGGAAGCCCTCCCGTACAAACACACTTCGTTCACTGGCCGCTTGGTGGAGGGTCCGCCATGAGGGCGCCGTTTCTTCACTCTCAGCCATGGGCTGTGCCTTGGAGCCCTGTCCTCCAGGTCAGACGCCCAGCGGACATTGGAGTGTTGACCTCCAGGGATGAGGGTGCCAGGTCCCAAGAGTCTGGGTCAGCTGCCGGGAGGTCTGGGGGTGCTGGGACCACAGCAGGATGGGAGCTGGCCAGGGGCCTGTCCCCCCGACCTCCTGTGTGTGGGACTTGGAAAGCTGACTGGGGCCTCCTATTCTTTAAAAAGAACCCAATCATCCATCACACCCCAGGAAGCCCTCTTCAAGCCCAGCAGGCATTTCCTGCTCAGGGCTGGGCTGTCTCCAGGTGTGCGTGCTGAGCGGAACGTTCTCCTGGCTGGAAAATGCGCGTGTTCACCTCATGCCTATGAACAACAGATCTATAGGAAGGGAAGAAGATCAATAAACAAATCCCCTCCCCCAGGAGGAAGCATTAGGCGATTACGCAAAGAACTGGTTTGATGAATTCCCTTGGAAGCAGTGGTACGCGTGTGTCATACGCTGTGGAATTGGCCTCCCCAGCCTCCTATTCAGCGTTCTCCTAACCCCCTGATAAGCAGCTGCAAAATGTGTCAGGCCAACGGGAGACAGGCCAAGTGTGGCCTCCGGCCCGTGTCTTCATCTTCTCAGGGCCTCTCCTAACTGTCCGGCGCATCTGCCTACATTTTCTCAGGAATTGGATCCGCAGATGTCTGGTTATGCAACTGCTTCCCATTTTCAGCCAGAGAAGTTACTCAAGTCGGTTTGGAGAGGAGCTTTGCACGGATTCGGCCAGCTGGGCTTAGTGAGAGGCCCTGGGGCTGTCTGGGACAGAGGAGGGAGGCAGTGCGAATGCCTCTTCCTGGCAACCGGAGCCAGGAAGCCTTTCCAGAGGCCACAGTCACCTTTTCCCAGGTGGTGCCGGAGGAGGAGGCCCTAACTGCTTTCGATGCAGGGGGCTGCCCCTTGAGCTGGGCCAACTGGGAGAAGGTGGACGGGGAGTTGGTCAGCAGGGTAGAGGGCATGGAGGGCGGTGGGTGCAGCTGTCAGGGACCACAAAGTTACAGCAAGCCCAGGAGGAGGTTAGAAAAGGAGGAGGGCTTTGAAGAATCATCTCTGGGGAGGTGCCGTTTACATACAGGAAGATGCACCCACTTAAAGTGTATAGCTTGATGAGTTCTGGCAAATTTATATAACTGTGTGACCATGAACACAATCAAGACAGAGAACATCCATCACTCCAAAAAGATCCCTCATATCATCAGTAACATCCATCACCCCAAAAAGATCCCTCATATCATCAGTAACATCCATCACCCCAAAAGACCCCTCATATCATCAGTAACATCCATCACCCCAAAAAGACCCTTCATATCATCAGTAACATCCATCACCCCAAAAAGACCCCTCATATCATCAGTAACATCCATCACCCCAAAAAGACCCCTCATATCATCAGTAACATCCACCACCCCAAAAAGACCCCTCATACCATCTGCAGCATCCATCACCCCAAAAAGACCCCTCATATCAGTAACACCCATGACCCCAAAAGTCCCCTCATATAATCAGTAACATCCATCACCCCAAAAAGATCCCTCATACCATCCGCAGCATCTGTCACCCCAAAAAGATCCCTCATATCATCAGTAACATGCATCACCCAAAAAGACCCCTCATGTCAGCAGTAACATCCATCACCCCAAAAAGATCCCTCATATCATCTGCAGCATCCATCACCCCAGAAAGATCCCTCTTATCAGTGACATCCATCACCCCAAAAAGATCCCTCATATCAGTAACATCCATCACCCCAAAAAGATCCCTCATACCATCTGCAGCATCCATCACCCCAAAAAGATCTTTCATACCATCAGTAACATCCATCACCCCAAAAAGATCCCTCATATCATCCGCAGCATCTGTCACCCCAAAAAAGATGCCTCATATCATCAGTAACATCCATCACCCCAAAAAGACCCCTCACATCAGTAACATCCATCACCCCAAAAAGACCCCTCATACCATCAGTAACATCCATCACCTCAAAAAGACCTCTCATATCATCAGTAACATCCATCACCCGAAAAAGATCCCTCATACCATCCGCAGCGTCACCCCAAAAAGATCCCTCATATCATCAGTAACATCCATCACCCCAAAAAGACCCCTCATATCATCAGTAACATCCATCACCCCAAAAAGACCCCTCATATCATCAGTAACATCCGTCACCCCAAAAAGACCCCTCATATCATCAGTAACATCCATCACCCCAAAAAGATCCCTCATACAATCTGCAGCATCCACACCCCAAAAAGATCCCTCACATCAGTAACATCCATCACCCCAAAAAGACCCCTCATATCATCAGTAACATCCATCACCCCGAAAAGACCCCTCAAATCATCAGTAACATCCGTCACCCCAAAAAGACCCCTCATATCATCAGTAACATCCATCACCCCAAAAAGATCCCTCATATCATCAGTAACATCCATCACCCCAAAAAGACCCCTCATATCATCAGTAACATCCATCACCCCAAAAAGATCCCTCATATCATCAGTAACATCCATCACCCCAAAAAGATCCCTCATATCAGTAACATCCATCACCCCAAAAAGATCCCTCATATCAGTAACATCCATCACCCCAAAAAGATCCCTCATATCATCCACAGCATCTGTCACCCCAAAAAGATCCCTCATATCATCAGTAACATCCATCACCCCAAAAAGACCCCTCATATCATCAGTAACATCCATCACCCCAAAAAGACCCCTCATATCATCCGCAACAAACCGCCCCACCTCATACAATCACTGACTGGCACTTTGTCACCATGGATGGGTTTGTGTGTGGCTTTCCTGTGGTGGAGTAAGACAATATGGACTCTTCTGGCCTCGGCATTTGTTTTTGAGGTGCATCCAAGTTCGATTGCCGGGCCGGTGGTGGCTCACGCCTATAATCCCAGCTCTTTGGGAGGCCGAGGTGGGCAGATCACCTGAAGTCAGGAGTTCAAGACCAGCTTGGCCAACATGGTGAAACCCCATCTCTACTAAAAACACAAAAATCAGCTGGGCACGGTGGCGGGCACCTGTAATCCCAGCTACTCCGGAGGCTGAGGCCGGAGAATTGCTTGAACCTGGGAGGCAGGGGATGCGGTGAGCTGAGATCACACCATAGTACTCCAGCCTGGGCGACAGAGTGAGACTCCCATCTCAAAAAAACAAAAACAAAAAAATAAAAAATAAAAAACACCTGTGATTGCCGAATGTCCCCTGGCATGGCTGTGCCACAGTTGCTCTGGTTTGGGGTCCATTGTGATGAAGCCTGCTGTGAACACTTGGGCCTGAGCCTTGGTGAGGATGTGTCCTTCTGTTTCTTGTGGGTAAACGCGTGGACTCGAGTGGCCGGGGTACGAGGCAGTTGCGTGTTTAACTTCCTGTGAAGCTGCTGGTTTCCCAGGGCGGTTGCACCATCTTACATTCTCACAAGTGGTGCCTGAGAGTTCCGATTCTTCCACATCCTCAGTAAACACTTGCCTGAAGTTTCCACTATGGTTGTGGGTGTGCCGTGGGCTCTGATCGCGGTTCTCCTCTGGGTGTCCCTGATGGTGGTTGGGTCTGAGCTCTGGTTCCTGAGCTCACTGGCCAATTGCATGTGTATCTTCTTTCAGGCAGTATCTGTTCTAATTATTTCTCCCCCCCTTTTTTTTTTTAACTTTTTGTATTTTTTTTTAGAGATGAGGTTTTGCCATGTTGCCCAGGCTCACCTTGAACTCCTGGGCTCAAGCAATCCTCCCACCTCGGCCTCCCAAAGTCCTGGGATTACAGGCAGAAGCCACCATACCCAGCCTTTTTTTTAAAAAAAGTTTGAATTTTGAAATAATTTTAGAGCTCACAGAGAAGTTGCAAAGAACGTACAGAGTTCTCATATGCTCTTCAACCAGTGCTTTCAATATTATCTACATAACTATCAAAATCAAAGCATATCAAAACCAAGAAACTGACATTGGTACCAAACTGTTCACTGAGCTACAGATCTTGTTCAGATTTTGTCAGTTTTTCACATGTATTTTTTCTGTTCGTAGTTCACAAACTTATGGATTTGTGCAGCTATGATCACAGTCGGGATATATGACTTTTTCATTCATTTTTCAGTCACATTCTGCCTCAAACCCTAACCCCTGGCAACTACTTATCTGTTCTCTAGCTCTACAACTTTGTTATTTCAAGAATATTATGTAAATGAAACTATATAGGATAAAATATATACATATAGAGAGAGAGAAAAAAAGAGAGAGAGAGATTGGCCTTTTTCATTGAGTATAATGCATTTAAGATCCATTAAATTGTTGCATGTCTCAATAGTTGTTCCTTCATGTTACCGAGTAGTATTCCCTGTGTGGATGTCCAAGTTTATTTACCCCGTCAACTGTCGAAGAGCATTTGCATTCCTGGAATAAATCCTACATGATCATGGCTTATAATTATTTTTATATATTTCTGTATTCGATTTGCTAAGTTTGTTGATGATTTTTGCATCTTTGTTCATGACAGATATTAGTGTGCCATTTTAAAATGTTGTTTTTGTCTTCTTTTGGTGTCAGGGTAATATTGGTTTCATATAATCACACAGGAAGTGCTCTTTCTTCTATTTTCTGGAAGATATTAGATGGAATTGGTACTATTTCCTCTTTAAATGTTTGGTAGAATTCACCAGATGGTGAAACCATCCGGGCCTGGATATTTCTTTTTTGGAAGGCATGTTAACTAAGGAATTTATTAAAGAAATTCCATTTATTTAAGAGTTATAGAACTATTTGGATTATCTGTTCCACTTGGAGATGTTTTGGTAGCTTGCTGTTTTTGAGTAATTGGTTAATTTCATGCAATGTGTTGAATCTGTGTGTGTAGATTTGTAGTATTCTGTTTTCCTTTTAACGTCTACAGAGTCTATAATTTTGATATCCCTTCTTTTATTCCTGATATTATTTATTCTCTCATTTTTTGTCAATTTTGCTAAAGTTTTATGATTTTATTAATTGTCTCAGAAACCAGCTCTCTTTCCACTGATTTTCTCCATCATGTTTTAAGTTTCATTGATTTCTGTTCCTTTGTTCTACTTGCTTTGGGTTTATTTTGCTGTCTCAAAATAATTTCTTGAGGTGAAAGCTTGGATTATTCTTTTGAGATCTTTCTTCTTTCGTAATATAGACATTTAGTGTTGTAACTTTTCCTCCAATCACTACTTTAGTTACATACTTCAGGTTTTTATATATTTTCATTTTTGTTCAGTTAAATATTATCTTTAAATTCCCTAGAGACTTTCTCTTTCTGGATTATTTAGTGGTACGGTGCTTAACTTTTAACCAGCTTTTAAGCAGTACAGTGCTTAACTTTTAAGCATGTATCTCTGTTATAACTAGTTTAATTTCATTATAATCAGAGAACATACTTCGTATGATTCATTTCTTTCAGATTTATTTAAGATTAAAAAAAATAGAGACAGGGTCTCACTATGTCACCCAGGCTGGCCTTGAACTCCTGGCCTCAAGCAATCCTCCCACCTTGTCCTCCCAAAGTGCCAGGATTACAGGCACCAGACACCACGCCTGGCTGGCCTAAGATTTTTTAATGACTCTGGGCATCACCCGCCTCTCTTGGTAAATGTTCCAGGTGCCCTTGAGAAGTCTTTGTTTTCTGCTCTGGTTGGGTGGAGTGTTCCATAAATTCAATTAGATCAAGTTGGTTGATGGTGATGTTCAGTTCTATGCCCTTGATGATTTTCTGTCTGTTTGCTCTGGGACAGAAGTGTTGAGGTCTCCAACTATAATTCCGGATTTATTCCATTTCTGTCTCATGGGTTTTGCTTCACATACTTGGAACCTGTGTTCTAAGTTGTACACACACTCAGGATTGTTATATCTTTTTGGTGAATTGACCCTTTTTTTTTTTTTTTCAGACAGAGTCTCGCTCTGTCGCCCAGGCTGGAGTGCAGTGGCGTGATCTCTGCTCACTGTAAGCTCCACCTCCCAGGTTCACGCCATTCTCCTGCCTCAGCCTCCCGAGTAGCTGGGACTACAGCGCCCGCCACCATGCCCGGCTTTTTTTTTTTTTTTTTGTATTTTCAGTAGAGACGAGGTTTCACCGTGTTAGCCAGGATGGTCTCGATGACCATCCTCTCCCAAAGTGCTGAGATTACAGGCTGAATTGACCCTTTTATCATCACGTAATTTACCTCTTTGCTGCCGATAATTTTCTTTTCTCTGAAGTCCACTTTATCTGATATTAATATAGGCAGTTCAGTTTATTAAAATTTGTGCCTGCATGATGATATATCTTTTTCTATCCTTTTAACACTGACCTACCAATATTATCTTTGAAGTGAGTTTCTTGAGGGTAGAAATATAGGTGGGTCATTTAAAGAAATCCATTGTGACCATCTGTCTTTTTTAATTTTTAATTTTTTTTGTAGAGATACGGTCTCACTCTGTTGCCCAGGCCGGAGTACAGTATCATGATCACATCACTGCAGCCTCGACCTCCTGGGCTCAAGCGATCCTCCCACCCTGGCCTCCTGACTAGCTGGGACCACAGGCGCACACCATATGCCTGGGTAATTAAAAAAAAAATCTGTAGAGACAGCGTCCCACTGTATTGCCCAGGCTGGTCTTGAACTCCTGGCCTCAAGTGATCCTCTTGCCTTGGCCTCCCAAAGTGCTGGGATGACAGGTACGAGCCATGGCACCAGGTCTCTGTCTTTTAATTTAGACCAGTTACATTTAATGTCATTATTGATATGTTTGGATTCAAACCTACCATTTTATTATTTGTTTTCTGCTTATTTCCTCCATTTTTTTGTTCTTTTGTCTTTTCATTCCTGTCTTTTGGTTATTTGAACATTTTTCAGTATGTTAAGCTACCTATTGTGTTGTTGATGATATAGCTCTGTAGAATATTTACTGGTTTTCTGGGGATTACCATATGCATACTTCACCTTTCACAGTCTCCTTGGAATCAGTATTTTAGCATTTCAAGTGTTTTGTGGAACTCTTGCCACCGTGTAGCTTCCTGGACCTGCATCTTTCATGCTGCAGTCCGTCTTAGTTGATACATCTGCATGTGCTGAAACTCCGCCCAACAATACTACAGTACTTGCTTTTCATCATCAAACATTATTTTAAAGAACTGAAGAACAGTCTATTACATTTCCTCAATATTTATCATTTTTGTTGCTCTTCCTTCATTCCTGATGTTTTTCTATCTGAAAAAACTCTTTTAGGCATTCTTTTAGGGTATATGTGCTGGCAGCAAATTTTCTTAGTTTTTCTTCATCTGAGAATGTCTCCATTTCACCCTCATCCCTGAAGGATATTTTTGCTGGATATAGACTCCTGAACTGATAATTATTTTCTTTCAGCAATTAAACAATGTGCCAGGTTGGGCGTAGTGGCTCATGCCTGTAATCCCAGCACTTTGGGAGGCTGAGGTAGGCGTATCACCTGAGGTCAGGAGTTTGAGACCAGCATGGCAAACATGGTGAAACTCCGTCTGTACTAAAAATATAAAAATTAGCTGGGCGTGGTTGCAGGCGCCTGTAATCCCAGCTACTCAGGAGGCTGAGGAAGGAGAATTGTTTCAACCTGGGAGGCGGAGGCTGCAGTGAGCCAAGGCTCCGTCTCAAAGTGCCACTTTTTCCTGGCTTCCATGGTTTCTTTTTTTCTTTTTTCTTTTCACTCCGTTGCGCAGGCTGGAGTGCAGTGGCGCGATCTTGGCTCACTGCAGCCTCCGCCTCTGAGGTTTAAGTGATTCTCCTGCCTCAGTCTCCTAAGTATCTGGGACTACAGGTGTGCACCACACCTGGCTAATTTTTGCATTTTTAGTAGAGATGGGCTTTTGCCATGTTGGCCAGGTTGGCCTCGAACTCCTGGCCTCAGGTGATATCCATCTGCCTCAGTCTCCCAAAGTGTTAGGATTACAGGTGTGAGCCACTGTGCGCAGCTGCTTCCATGGTTTCTAATGGGAAATTTGCAGTCATTTCAATTGTTGTTCTTTTATATTTTTGTCTTTAGTTTTCAGAAGTTAGGTTGTGATGTGTCTTGAGTGTGTGATGTGTCTGTGTTGTGATGTTTCTGAGTTGTGGTGTGTCTGAGTTGTGGTGTGTCTGAGTTGTGATGTTTCTGAGTTGTGGTGTGTCTGAGTTGTGGTGTGTCTGAGTTGTGATGTGTCTGAGTTGTGGTGTGTCTGAGTTGTGGTGTTTCTGAGTTGTGGTGTGTCTCAGTTGTGATGTTTCCGAGTTGTGGTGTGTCCGAGTTGTGGTGTGTCCGAGTTGTGGTGTGTCCGAGTTGTGGTGTGTCCGAGTTGTGGTGTGTCCGAGTTGTGGTGTGTCCGAGTTGTGGTGTGTCTGAGTTGTGGTGTGTCTGAGTTGTGGTGTGTCCGAGTTGTGATGTGTCTGAGTTGTGGTGTGTCTGAGTGTGGCTCTATTTGGGCTTTTCCTGTTTGGACTTCACTCAGCTTTGTGAACCTGAGAATGAGAGAAGGATTGGAGGGTCAGACTCTGCCTGTGATATGGGCAGAAACTCCCCAGACCAGACCTGCCTGCAGAGACACGTGTGAAGGAAGTGAGGGTTTGCAGTAAGTAGATGCCGGAACCCCGCTGGGCTAATTTTTATTTGTGGCATTCTCCAAGGTACCAAGCTTGGTCAGGTACCTCTTGGCCAAGTAGATGGCAGTGGGAGAACGTTCGGGGGCTGGATGCAGGCTCCAGCTCGGGGTCTGCCCCAGCCCCTGGTCCCACTGGCCGAGAGGCATACTGTGCTCTGGCTACTGGGCCACACACGCTGGCTCTAAGGGCCTGAGTTTGGAACGCCCCCTTTACTCACAGCTGATTTTCAAGGAGTCAGCTTTAAACAGATGATGTCGGTCGGCAGCATGTGGGCCAACCTCCCCTGTGTATTTGTCTGTTCTCACACTGCTAATAAAGACATACCTGAGACCGGGTAATTTATGAAGGAAAGAGGCTTAATGGACTCACAGTTCCACATGGCTGGGGAGGCCTCACAGTCATGGAGGAAGGTGAAGGAGAAGCAAAGGCGCCATCTTACGTGGTGTCAGACAAGAGAGCTTGTGTAGGGGAACTCCTCTTTATAAAACCATCAGATCTCACGAGACTTATTCACTACCACGAGAACAGTACGGGGGAAACCGCCCTCATGATTCAATTATCTCCACCTGGCCCCGCCCTTGACGTGTGGGGATGATTACAATTCCCGGAGAGACTGGCTGGGGACACAGCCAAGTCCCACCACATGGCACCCTCAAACACACAAGAGAGGCTCACAGTTCATGGCCCTCTGCTGAGAACAAGGGAGCTGGGCTGGGGTGGAAACAGGCGTGGGAGGAGGAAGGCTCAGAGCCCATGCTGTGGGGAATGGAAAAGAGGGATCTCGGAGGCCCTGGGACCCCAGCCGCAGCTGAACGGCCCACCTATGATGGAGAAGAAGGCCTGTGGGCTTTGACGGTGCGGCCGCAGTGCCATCGTTCCCTGCCACGATCCCCCACAGGCCCCCCTGGTCCCTGCGCCCAGCCTGTCTTCCCTGGCCTGGGGACTGACCTCGGCTGGGGAGCCCACCTGGAAGTGAGTGGCCGTGTCCCCGCTGGGTGGGGAGGGACTGAAACCAGAGGGAGCTGAACCCCCAGGAGGAGAGGTTGGTCACTCAGCGGCCCTGGTGCCAGAGGTGAAGTGAGGGTGTTCACAGAGGACACCCCAAGGAGAAGATTTCAAAGACAGAGCTGCTCTGGGGGACGCCAGATCTGGGGTGGAAGCCCTGAGTGTGCGCAGGTGCCCAAGAAAGGGCTCCAGCTGCAGCAAAGAGACGGTCAGAAGCTGAAGGCCCAGGGACAGCTGTGCAGCCCCCGGGAGACTCGCTCAGATGCAGGCCACGGGGACCAGGGACATGCAGAGGGTCCTGGGAGAGGCTGGAGGGAGGATGGAGGGGGCCTCGCTCAGATGCAGGCCGCGAGGACCAGGGACACGCAGAGGGTCCTGGGAAGGGCTGGAGGGAGGGTGGAGGGCGGGACGTGGCTGGCTCGCGGGTGGCAGCGGTGGGGTGTGGTGAGGCCTACCATGCTGGTAACTGTTTACCCACTGGCCCTGAGGAAGAGCACCTGGGATTCGTCGCGAGTGCTGATTCCAGCTGGGAACACACCACCTCAGGAAGCTCCTGAACGCTGCAGTGGTGTTTCCACCGCGCAGATGCAGAGGCAGAAGGCACCTTTGTGACCATGGTATTTAACTTAATGTATTTAATTGTAAGTTTATGTAATTTTAAAAATAACATCTGTAGCCCGGGTGCGGTGGCTCACGCCTGTAATCCCAGCACTTTGGGAGGCTGAGGCTGACAGATCACCTGAGGTCAGGAGTTTGAGACCAGCCTGGCCAACTTGGCGAAACCCCGTCTCTACTAAAAATACAAAAACTAGCTGGGCGTGGTGGCCACCTGCAATCCCAGCTACCCAGGAGGCTGAGGCAGGAGAATCGCTGGAACCCGGGAGGCCAAGGCTGCAGTGAGCTGAGATCGTGCCACTGCACTCCAGCCTGGGTGACAGAGCAAGACTCTGTCTCAAATAAATAAATAACATCTGTGTTTAGCAACTGGCTCTCAAAGTTCTTGACAAGGAGACTTCGTGAGCGCTCAGGGTCTGGCGGGGTGTGGGTGAGGCAGAAGGAGCTGTGTGGTGGGGTGTGTCGGGGGCGCCTGGGTTGCCGGGCAGAGTCCCTGGAGGTGCAGTCAGTGGACATGAGGGGCCTGCAGGAAAAGGCGGTGGTGCGGGCCCAGGCCCTGCTGTACTGTGTGTGGACTCACCGGGTCCTTGGGGGGCATCCGGGCAGCCGGCTTCCCCGTGACTCACAGGCTGGCTACGCCAACGCCAGGATGTTTCCCTGGAGCCCCTCCCCGCTCTCCTCACAGAGCCAGGTCAGTGCGGGGGTGCAGACGGCTTCTACCAGGAAGCCGTGGGTCTGCGTGGGTGAAGCCTCCAAGGACACTTCTCTGTTTCAGGGTTGCCTGGGAACAAGCTCTCCGGCTCCCAGTGAGACCCTGATGTGGTGCGGCCTGGGTTGCAGCGCAGGCTCCTCTTCTGGTTCCAGCAGCCGCCAGAGGCCCCAGTGACGCCACAGGCCACACGCTGACCAGCAGCCTCGTCACTCACTCATTTTTCCAACAAGTCTTTGCCAAGAGGCAGCCGGGTGCCCACCTGGCACAAAGGCCTTTCCTCTTGGGGCATGGACTGGGTATATTTCGGGGCAGGAGAGAAGAGCTTTTGACAGCAAAACTCAAGGTCTGACGGCTGCTCAGAACACCGCCCAAATAGCGGCCCGAACACTCCAGGTGCCGTGAGCAGCATCGGGCTCGCCCGGCAAAGCCCCGCACGTCCTCCCACGTCCTCCCACGGGCTCCGTGTTTGATCACTGTGGTCCAAAACACTTGCTCCAGGCTCTTCTCTCACTCTGCCTCCATCCAGTCCCGGGAAAGGCACTCTGTGGTCGTGAGAAGCCAGGCATGGGGCATGAATCCCGTCCTGGGTGCAGCCGTGGGGCCTGGCCGGGCTCTTGGCCATCCCGAGATGCAGCTTCTGCAGGCCTGCAGGCTGAACGAAACACGGAGCGTCACTCTGTGAATACATGAAATAACAAAGAAGGATTTGGAGACAGAATTGACGATGGCACCTTGACAATGGGAGTTAATGTCTTAACTTAGGATGCCTTTCAGTTCGGGTTTCAGGTGACCTGGTTGAGAGGTGCTGCCCCGTCCCCCACACACCTTGGGAAGCCCTGAGCCCTGCTGGTGGGGACAGGCCAGGTGCAGCCCCCAACCCCCAGGCCCTTCTGGGCTGGACTGGCTCAGCCATCTGGAAGGCACCCGTGTGTCTCTGTGTGGACTGTGACCCCTCTGGGTGCATCCTCCAGGCAGAAGCCCAGCTCCCACCACTTCCTCCAGATAGCCGTAGGGCCTCTGCCTGGATAGGGTGTCCCCTGTGCCCCACACGACCCCAGAGGTCAAAGCCAGGCCTGGACGGAGAGGGAAGGCGTGGGACTCAGCCCTGATGGGCAGGGTTTTCTGGAGAATAAAGTGGGTGAAGGGACCCTCAGCAGGGTGTGGACGGCGGCTCACCCAGGATCACAACTTAGGGTGGATCATGTCTCACCGCGTCCCTTCCAAACGGGATTCTGTTGGTGAAAGCTGCACCCCCAGCATTCAGCTTTTTTCATGACAAGCCCCGAAGCCGCGTGTGTGGAGGGCGCCTCGTGTTCTGCCCGAAGCCGCGTGTGTGGAGGGCGTGTTCTGCCCGTGTGGGCGCCACGTGCCTGGGAGACAGTCCGAGTGGCAGTGGACGCCTGGCCGGGTCAGTTCACGCCGACAGGGAGACCCGTTCCCTCGGTCGTGGCATCAGCACGGGGGCTCAGCCTGTGCCTCTCAGCAAACGCCTCCTGAGTGGAGAAAAGGAACTGGGTAAATCGTTAGGAAGCATTCAGACCGGGACCCAGCACGCGACGTCCCCGGCACAGAGAGCCACTGACAGGTCATCCTGGAGGAAACTGTCCTCTGAGCACACACTTTGGAAACCCCATGGCCAGGGGAATCGGCGCGCGCGGGTGGCTGAATCGGCGCATGCAGGTGTCTGAAGGCCCCGAGGACAGAGGAGAAGCCTGTGAGTGCTTTGGGGCCTGACGCCCTCTAGGCCTCGTTCGTGACCAGCCTGGCTCTCCGGGCGCCGGCCCTGCTCCGCTCCGCATGTGAGGTCATGGTGCCCACAGTGTGGATGTAGGGCGCTGACGTGGACACGAAGGACCACCCACGGAGGTCTGGCCTGGCCATTTCCGCACCACAGAAAACCTTGGACTACATTTTCAAAATTGCACTTTTGTTTGATATTAAGCCGGTGATGGAAACGCAGGCTTCCTTCTTTACAATGCGTCTTGGCGTTTGTTACACACCCCCGAGCACTGGCCCAAGGAAGGCGTCAGCCGGGGCAGAATGTGTGAGGCCTTTCCACCTTCAGAGCCTTGGGCCAGCCCATCATGGGTTCTGCTGAGGCAGCACGGAGCACCTCCTCGGCTGGGACCTGCCCCCGCCCCCACTCTGGCCTCGCCTCAGGGCCTGCAGTTCTTTGGGGGTTATCTGGGGTGCCGGCCTCCCCTGGCTGCAGCCCCCGAGGTCAGGCCCGGCCTCCTGACTCCCGGGGGGCACTACGTGCTCTCCATCGTGGGGCCGGCACCTCTAGGGTCGGCAGCACCATCACAAGCCCCGGGCCCCCCTCGCTCCAGCTGCTCACCCAGCTGGAGGCCCCCACTGTCCTCCCTCCCACTGCCTCTCCCCGAGGCCCCCTGTGGCCCTCACAGCCCTGTCTGCAGGACGGGTCTCTGTGCCCCCTGGCAGCCATCAGTATCTCAAAGCAGCCCCAGGCCCAGCTCTGAATTCTGTGTCCCCGACGCTCTGTCACTCCATGTCGGCCGCACGTAGGCGGAGAGGCCTGATGGGAGCCATCTGGAGCCTCTTCAGGGCCAAGACGCGTCCCCAGACCGCAGCTTTCCGAGGAAGTGGGATGCTCTGGCGATGCCTCGTTTTAGCCCAGAGTGGTTTGTGGTCTGGAATGCTGGAGGAGGGCGCAGAGCGGGGGTCATCCTGGAGCTTCCGTGAACTCGTCACAGGCCTGGGCCTGCCTGCGCCGTCCATGGAGCAGAACCGAGGGGCAGCCTCTAGGGTCGAGGCCCTGAAGCCTGCCCCTGAGGAGGTGACACAGGGCCATGTGGGTCCAGGCTGTGTGGGCCCGAGCACTGTGGCCTGTTATGGCCATGTCTGCAGGTTCCGCAGCAGAACCTGTGTCCTCTGGCAGCCGCAGGCTGGGCCGCCTCACCCCTCCGGGAGGGGTGTTCCCAAACGCCCTCAGCAGCTGCCCACAGTCCTTAGGACAAAGCCCCCGTTGGGCTGCACTGCATGGACCCTGCTCACTATGGGGGCGATGCGTCCCCACCCCGCCGCCTGAATTCTGCCTGCAGGACCCCAAACCTGGTAATCCCTCCAATGCCCGGCTCCCGTCTCTCCTCGCTCCCTCCACGCCTTCCCCTGATTGTCCGTGGCTGGGCCCTGGATTCCGTTGTCTGGCAAGGCAGTCACTTCCCGGGGGCCCTGTAGAGTGGGCAGGGCTGCGGCTCCCGGGGAAACTCCATGGCACACCCCGTGCCTTTGCCGTGCAGCCTCCTGCCCAGGCGCACCCCCAGCCTAGTGCTCTGCGGGCCTCAGGATGGAAGCCGGGACAGTCTCTGCGGGGCCTCAGGGATGGAAGCCGGGTCAGTCTTTGTGGGGCCCCTGGGCTACATGCACACACCCGGGCCGACAGTTCCTGTTTTTCCTTTTCTTTTTAACTGGGAACTAAGGAAGGTCTTTGTGTGCCCGCTGACAAGGATGAAATTTTCCAGCTGACCACAGTAGAAAGTTCATCATACTGACTTATTTGTTGCTGTGAATGCAAGATAATTGCCCCTGTACCTTGTCCCTAAGACCTCGTTGAAGGACAAGACTGTATTGGAGGCTGGCACACACTGGAGAGGCCCGTCCACACCGCAGGTGACGCGGGGGTATTGGAGGCTGGCACACACTGGAGAGGCCCGTCCACACCGCAGGTGACGCGGGGGTATTGGAGGCTGGCAGACACTGGAGAGGCCCATCCACACCGCAGGTGACACAGGGGTATTGGAGGCTGGCACACACTGGAGAGGCCCATCCATACTGCAGGTGACGCGGGGGTATTGGAGGCTGGTACACACTGGAGAGGCCCGTCCACACCGCAGGAGACATGGGGGTATTGGAGGCTGGCACACACTGGAGAGGCCCGTCCACACCGCAGGTGACGCGGGGGTATTGGAGGCTGGCACACACTGGAGAGGCCCGTCCACACCGCAGGTGACGCGGGGGTATTGGAGGCTGGTACACACTGGAGAGGCCCGTCCACACCGCAGGAGACATGGGGGTATTGGAGGCTGGCACACACTGGAGAGGCCCGTCCACACCGCAGGTGACACGGGGGTATTGGAGGCTGGAACACACTGGAGAGGCCCATCCACACCGCAGGTGACGCGGGGGTATTGGAGGCTGGTACACACTGGAGAGGCCCGTCCACACCGCAGGAGACATGGGGGTATTGGAGGCTGGTACACACTGGAGAGGCCCGTCCACACCGCAGGTGACGCGGGGGTATTGGAGGCTGGCACACACTGGAGAGGCCCGTCCACACCGCAGGTGACGCGGGGGTATTGGAGGCTGGCACACACTGGAGAGGCCCGTCCACACCGCAGGTGACGCGGGGGTATTGGAGGCTGGCAGACACTGGAGAGGCCCATCCACACCGCAGGTGACACAGGGGTATTGGAGGCTGGCACACACTGGAGAGGCCCATCCATACTGCAGGTGACGCGGGGGTATTGGAGGCTGGCACACACTGGAGAGGCCCGTCCACACCGCAGGTGACGCGGGGGTATTGGAGGCTGGCACACACTGGAGAGGCCCGTCCACACCGCAGGTGACGCGGGGGTATTGGAGGCTGGCACACACTGGAGAGGCCCGTCCACACCGCAGGTGACGCGGGGGTATTGGAGGCTGGCACACACTGGAGAGGCCCGTCCACACCGCAGGTGACGCGGGGGTATTGGAGGCTGGCACACACTGGAGAGGCCCGTCCACACCGCAGGTGACGCGGGGGTATTGGAGGCTGGCACACACTGGAGAGGCCCGTCCACACCGCAGGAGACCCGGCGGCGCGATCCTTCTGCAGCTGGGCAGGGGAGGGTTTCGCTTCCTCAGGGGCCTCTTCAGGGTCATCCCTGGCACAGAGAATCGAACCAAAGTCCCTTCTAATCTCCCGTCAGTGGGAATCCTTACAAACACCTGGTGATTACACGGCTTCCAGAGATTGAGTAAATATTTACATTCCACGCTGGCTTGTTGATAAATATCCCTAACAGGAGTTACTGGACTTCAAGGGAATGAATTCTTAGTGGATATCTGTAACTATTTTAAAACCGAGATCTCATTTCCAAAGGAAAAAGCACAGGCCCTGCGAGTCCGCTCCGCGTTGGGTCCCCCCGGCACCGCGTGCTGCCTCCATGTGGGTCCCCCCGGCACCCCGTGCTGCCTCCATGTGGGTCCCCCCGGCACCGCGTGCTGCCTCCATGTGGGTCCCCCCGGCACCGCGTGCTGCCTCCATGTGGGTCCCCCCGGCATCCCGTGCTGCCTCCATGTGGGTCCCCCCGGCACCGCGTGCTGCCTCCGCGTTGGGTCCCCCCCACACCCCGTGCTGCCTCCGCGTTGGGTCCCCCCCACACCCCGTGCTGCCTCCGCGTTGGGTCCCCCCCGGCACCCCGTGGTGCCTCCGCGTTGGGTACCCCCCACACCCCGTGCTGCCTCCTGGACCCCGTGCTGCCTCTCTGTGGGTCCCCCCCCGCACCCCGTGCTGCCTCCTGGACTAGGCCTTGCCCGTCTCAGAGCTGATGTCGACGGACGGCACCGCAGGCACTGTTTTGTGTCTGGATTCTCCATGTTCATCGACACCACGTGAGCCTCACAGTGCTTTTATTGTGGAGGAGTGGTCCGCGGCTGCAGCACCGCCGGTCGGTCCAGCTCTGGTGGCTGCTGTCAGGTTCAGGCTGCTCTGAACACTCGTGACGGGTCCTCATGTGACCCAAGCACAGGTTTCTGTTGCATAAATACCTAGACATGGGACTGCGTCATCGTCAGAGGGGTACTTAGCGTCAGTGGATACTGCGAAGCGGTTTGCCAAAGGGACTGGGGGTGTCAGCCGCCCCCTCCGAGGCCCGGGACTGGGGGTGTCAGCCGCCCCCTCCGAGGCCCGGGACTGGGGGTGTCAGCCGCCCCCTCCGAGGCCCGGGACTGGGGGTGTCAGCCGCCCCCTCCGAGGCCCGGGACTGGGGGTGTCAGCCGCCCTCTCCGAGGCCCGGGACTGGGTGTGTCAGCTGCCCCCTCCCAAGCCCGGTGTTTGGTGGTTCTGTATGCTTCCAACGCTTGTACTGATGGTTTAATTTTGAACATTTTGGTGAGTGTGTAGTGGTAACTCGTTGTAATTTTAAATGTATATTTTCCTGATAACTAATGGTTTTAAGCACTTTTCAGATGGTTATGGATCTTTTGGATAACCTCTTTGTTATCCAAAAGAAGTTAGGAAGTAAATATAAAAGCTAAGACAACACAAATCTATTAGTTTACATTGCAATGAAAGTCCACGTGGGTCTCACTGGACTAAAACCAAAGTGCCTACAGGCTCCATCCCCTCCTGGGGCTCCAGGGAGAACCCCTGTCCTCGCCTTTTCCAGCTCCAGCTCCGAGCCCAGCTTCTGCCTGTGTCCGTGGCTTGCAGCCCCTTCTCCTAAGCTATGTGGTGGATGTGTGTCTCCTCCAAATCTCATTGTGAAGTATGATCCCACTGTTGGAAATTCAAGGAACGCAGCATTGTCAAAACCATCTGGAAAAGTAAGAACCAATTTGGGTCACTCACACGTCCCAGTTTCAAAGCCACAGTAATCAGGGTGGCATGGTGCTGGCTTAAGGACGGACACACGGAAAAACGGAACAGAGTAGGGTCCAGAGACAAACCTTCACACTTGTAGTCCGTTGATTTTCAGCAAGGGTGATGCACATTCAATGGGAGAGAAAGTCTATTTGACAAACGGTGGGGGGTCAACTGCATAGTCATGTGCAAAAGCATGGATTTATGTTCCACCTCACACCAGATGCAGAAATTAACTTAGATGAATCAATGACCTAAACCTCATAGAAAACACAGAGGCAGCCATCATCAGGACCTTGGATTAGGTAATGGTTCATTAGCAATGACATCAAAAGCACAAGCTACAAAAAAAAAAAAAAAGATAAATCAGGCTTCGTAAAAATCAAACATTCTGTCCTTCTGAAGGCACTTGAGAAAATTAAAATATAACTCACAAAATAGGAAAAACATTTGCAAATCACATATGTCATAACAGTCTATAATCCAGGATATATGAAGAATTGCTACAACCCTGTAATAAGAAGACCAAGAACCCACTTTAGAAGTGAACAAAGGACTCGGCGAGACACTGCTCCAAAGAAGACTTACAAACTGCTAATCCACATGTGGAAACGTCTTCGACGTTGTTAGACGTCAGGGAAATGTCAGGAAACACCACAGTGAGGTACTGCTTCGCGTTCACCAAGACAGCTGCGCTAAAGGACACCCAGCTCTTCCTCTCCTAGGCCCAGGCCAAGAGAACTGAAAACAACCACCACACGCTCACACAAAGGCACAGCAGCATCACTCAGCTGATAGGTGCCCATCGATTGGTGAATGGACGAACGCGATGTGGTGTAGCCGCAGAGTAAACTGTTACTCACCCACAGCCGGAAGTGAGGTACTGACACGTGCCACAGCTCTGTTCTCTGAGTGCTTCTGTGACCCTCGGAGTCATCTTTTATCTTTCATAAGAAATGACCAGTGTTTGCAGCTGAGGTTTGTTGTTGTTTTATCTACTTCCTTCTTGTAGAAGTGCAGGGGCCCAAAGACTTCTTGTAAGTTGGTATCGTCTCTGTTCCTTTTAGATAAAGTTGATATGATTCCTTTAGAAATATTGTGGGTTTTAGTTTATATAAATTGCATTAGATAAAAGCCATACCTGCTGGATGTGGTGGCTCATGCCTGTAATCCCAGCACTTTGGGAGGCCGAGGTGGGCGGTTCACGAGGTCAGGAGATCGAGACCATCCTGGCCAACCTGGTGAAACCCCGTGTCTACTAAAAATACAAAAGTTAGCTGGGTGTGGTGGCGCGTGCCTGTAATCCCAGCTATGTGGGAGGCTGAGGCAGGAGAATCGCTTGAACCTGGGAGGCGGAGATTGCAGTGAGCTGAGATCGCACCACTGCACTCCAGCCCAGCCACAGAGTGAGACTCTGTCGGGGAAAAAAAAAAAAAAAAGGCCACACCTAAAAAAGATTCTTCTGTACCTTAGGTTCTCTGTGAGGCTACTGTGGGATGGTGATCTTCAGATTCTTAGAATATCTATTGGTTAACATAAAAGGCACATCTGTACGATCCTTAGAAAGTCACTTATTTGAAATGGTCTTTGAGGCATTACTTTAAATATTTCTGAGGCTGTCTTTAGTCCTTTTGTGCTGCTATAACAAATGCCACAGACTGTAATTTATAAAGATCAGAAATTTATTTCCTACAATTCTGGAGGCTGAGAAGTCCATGATCAAGGCACCAGAATCTGGTGAAGGGCTTCGTGCAGTGTCCTTACACGGTGGAGAGTGGAAGGGAAATCCACTCCCCAAAGCCCTTTTTACAACACAGATGCATTCATGAGGATAGAGCCCTCATGACCTAAACACCTCCCAACAGGCCCCACCTCCCAGCACCACCGCACTGGGGACCAATTTGCCAACACATGAATTTTGTGGAACACATTCAGACCACAGCAGAGGTCTTAACTAGGGACCTCTTAAGACCCTATTTAAAATAGTCCTATCCTTGGTTTTATATTACTCTGAGACCATGTTATCTGAACAGTGACCTGGATTTGATTTTTATCCTTAAGCTTGATTTTACTTTGAGAATCATATTCTGGCAAGACAGACTGTTCCTCTATAATTTCTCTAAATTTTACTTGAAAATTGAAAAGTTTCTCAGTTCACCTCTTTGCTCTTGAATTTTATTACAGGCAGCTGAAAGAATCCAGGAAGCATCTTCAACACCCCCTGCCCAGAAATTGCCTTAGCTAGGTCATCAGTTTATTAGGAATATTTTCTATTTTCCATGTTCCCTCAGGTGACAGTGTTGCCAAACTTCCACACCATGTAACAAGAACTCCCTTTATCTCCACTTCCAAGAACATTTTAATTACTTCTCTTTAAACTCTAACCAGTAGCCTTATCAAGGCCCATCAGATTTCTGCCCGCTGTCTACTTCCCAAATTAACAAAATTTCAGGTTTTTTTTTTTTCAGCAGAATCCAACTTCCAGCTACCAAAAATCTTAACAATAATTTTGTGTCAGATGTGTGGCTTCATCTTTACTCTGAGACTACATTTTGCTGACAATGACCTGGGTTTTATTTTTGCCCTGAGGACCTTTCTTGCTTTGAGAGCTCTCTGCTGCCTGGAGACATTGTTCTGAGCCCACTATAGTTTTTCTAAAGTCCAGTTTAAAACAACAGTTCATTCTTTTAGGACACATTCAATTATTCTTATTATACCTTCACTCTTGAGTAAAACCTTAGCTGGGTATAAAATAGGTTGTAGTTGGAGCTATTTCTTCATTGTTTTCTTGATTCTATTCATCTGGATGAGAAGTCTGCTGTTGATCTAATTGTTCCTTTGCAGGTTATTCCATCCTTATCCCTGAGGTTCTGTAGTTAAACTCTAATGTATGAGTGTGTGTGGAGGGGGGACAGGGGGTTGGGTGCTATTTTTTCTGCTTAAAACTTGGACTCTGCTTTATATCTGAGGTAAGGAAAGTGAGTGAGCTCCTTGAGATCACACTTAAGGTTGGCACAGAGCCAGAATGAGAACCGAGGCCCCTGGACGACTCACTAAGTGCTCTCCTGTGGTGCCGCCCCTCTTCCCACAACTGTGGTCTTAGATAATGTGGATGGCGAGAGCAACCAGGGGACTTCACCACATAATGATGCTCTTTCTTCCCTAATTGGCTGTACACTCATGAGGTCATGGAGTCTTTCTTTTTTAATCATTGTTGATAATGGAGTGTCAGGGAGAATGACGTGTTTGTTTGAAAGAGAACAGACTTTGGAGCTGGGCAGGCCTGGATTTGAATCCAAATCATCACTGATTTTTGTGCAGTCTTGAACAAATGACCCAATATCTCTCAGTCTTACTTTGCTCATTTGTAAAATGAAGATATCATCATCATCTTTATGGGGCATATGGAGATGTCTGTACATAGTAGATGCAGGGCAGGTGCTTTGGTGCGAGCTTGCTGATAGGGGGTTGAGGCTGGTGATGTGGACTGCAAACAACTAAACTAAAGCCACCCAGATACCAAATTGTCAGGGGCTGAGAGAGGAGATGGGGGAGAGATTAGCTTCCCCACAAGTATTTACAGCCCTGAGTGCATCACTGGTTGGGAGATGGGTCAGGTCTCTACTTTCACCACAGGTGGATTGGGTTGCAGTTTTAGCTACCTCCTTTATTTTTCTGGCAGTGAGATTTATAGAAGGAAGACAGCCAGATGCTCAGTCCCTGGCTTACTTTGTGATTTCATTCCAGAGTGTCCCAGTAATGTTCCTCAGAAATCCCTGAGAAAGTGCTGAAGAATGAGGGTGAGGTTTTACTATTTGCTGTTGTGGGGGTCAGCTGGGTTCCTCCAGCACTGGGGTGAATGGCAGTCTCCTAGTGGACTTTGGTTGCTGCTATGAATAATGCCTGTTTGCTTCATTATTGCTTAAAGGCAGGGTGTTACACAGTGGATTAAAAAAACAATTTTGAAGAAGGGCTCCAAAAAGACAATTAATTCACATAAAAAGCACTGACTTAACCCTTTTGATGTGTGGGTTTCAGCTGCCCCATTGACCTAGTTGCTTCTCTGGGTATGTAACACTGGTTCTGTGGCCCAACTGAGGTTAATGCCAACATAGCTGGAGAAAGCTCGGAGCAAAGGAAGAGACCAAATCTCTTACAAAAATCCTGGCAGGCCAAACCGTCCTCTATCCAGCAGATTCCCCTTAAATGAAAGCTGTTTATAAGAGATGTCAGATTCTGGATTATGTTTTGAAAATGTTCCCTGAGCTCTGTGATAACCTCACTGGGGTCACATCTGGCCTGGAAGCCACATGCCAAACACTACATATTTAGGGCTGAATTTGCAAGTTCAAGACAGGAGGGAAAAACTTTTTAGCTAAAAAACTTAAAAAAAAATTTTTTTAGAGATGGTGTCTTGCTATGTTGCCTAGGCTGGACTCAAATTCCTGGGCTCAAGGAAGCCTCTTGCCTCAGCCTCTCGAGTATCTGGGACTACAGGAATGCACCACTGTGCCAGCTTGAATTAATTTTTTATGTATGTTGTGAGGCAGGCATCAAGATAAATATTTGTCCCTAATAGTTAACCAGTTTTTCAAGCACAGTCTGTTGAAAAGACTTTCTTTTCCCCATTGAATTGCTTTGGTGGCTTAGTTGAAAATAAACTGGCTATGTAAGTGTTGGTCCATTTTGAACTACATTCTGTTCCACTGATCTATTTATCTGCCTTTACACCAATACTACACTCTCATAATTACCAGTGCTTTACTAAGTTCTGAATTCAGGTAGTGTAAAATCTTTGATTTTGTTATTCTTTTCCAAAAATTCTTGTCTACTAGGTCCTTTGCATTTTCATGTAAATTTTAGAATCAACTTGTGACTTTCTGTTCTTAAAAAGCTGGCTGTGATTTTGATTGAGATTGCATTGAATCTGTATATTAATTTTGGGAGGGGCCAGGTACGGTGGCTCACACCTATAATCCTAGAACTTTGGGAGGCCAAGGCGGGCAGATCACTTGAGGCAAGGAGTTCGAGACCAGCCAGGCCAACATGGCGAAACCCCATCTCTACTAAAAATACAAAAATTAGCCAGGCATGGTGGTGTGTGCCTGTAGTCCCAGCTACTCGGGAGGCTGAGGCATGAGAATCGCTTGAACCTGGGAGGCAGAAGTTGCAGTGAGCTGCACTCCAGCCTGGCTGACAGAGTAAAACTCTGTCTCAAAAAAGAAAAAAAGAAAAGGGGAGAATTGACATCTTAACAGTATGTACCCTTCCAGTCCATGAACATGAACATATCTTCATTTAAGTCTTGAATTTTTCTCAATAATGTTTTATAGTTTTCTGTGAACAGTTCTTGTGCATCTTTCATTAAAGTTAATCCTAAATATTGTAATATTATTTTATTTTGATGCTACTAATGGTGTTTTTTCCATTAAATGGTTTCAGCTTTCCAACTGTTGTTTGCTAGTGCATAAAAATTCATTTGATGATTGTATATTGACTTTGTATCCTGAGTTCTTGCTTAATTCACTTACTAGCTCTAGTAATTTGTTGTTGTTGATACTTAGGATTTTCTATGTACACAATCATGTTCTCTATGAACAAATAGGTCTACATTTTCCTTTCCTATCTTTATGAATTTTAGTTTTCTTGCCTTATTGCTCTTCGGTAGTACAAACATTGAATAGACATAATAAACGCCAACATCCTTGCCCTGTTCCCAATCTTGGGTTGAAAACATTCAGCATTTCCTTATAAAGTATGGTATTATCTGTAATTTTACAAGTTGAAGATGTCACTGTCTATTCCGTGTGTCTTGACAGTTGTTATTATGAACAGATATTAAATTTTGTCCCAAAGTTTTAAATGAATTTATTTAGATGATCTTGTGAATGTTGTCCTTTAACCTATTAATGTGGTGAAAAATTTTTATTGATTTTTGAATTACATTCCTGGAATAAACTCCACTTGGTCATGACACATTACCTCTTTTAATGTATTGTTGTTTGATTTGCTAACATTTTGTTAATTTTTAAATTTATGCTCACGAGGGATATTGGTCTGTAGGTTTTGAATCAGAAGTCTTCTTTTTTAGAAAGTTTTTAAGTATAAATTCTATTTCAGATTTTCTGTTCATTCTTGGGTTAGTTTTGATAAGGTCTGTTTTTCAAGGTTTTTATCCATTTTATCTAAACTGTTAATTCTTCAGATATTTTTGTCTTCCATTTTCTCTCTCTCATTTTTAGATCCCAAATTCTTATATTTCAGACTTCTTGTTATAATCCCGCATTTTGCAGAAGTTCTGTTCATATTTTGAAAAATCTTTTTCCTTTGTCTTGAGGAAAAAGTTTGAATACTTTCCAGTGACCTTCAAGTTCGTGATTCTTTCTTCTGCATTATACAATTGAAGCCCACCCATTGATTTTTTTCTTTCATATGGTCTATTAGTATTCACATTCATCTTTTGAAATATACCATTTGTTCACCCACATTTGAAATAATTGTTTTAGTATTTTCTCTTCCCAATTACTGGTTCATCTGATAATCATCTCCTTCTAGAGATTTTGTTTTCTTCTAAGTATAAACCATACATTTTCACTTACTTGCATGTTTTATATATTTTTGTTGTTTGGCACATTGTGTATAAATGAATAATGAAGATTGAAGCATTTTTGTTTTGGTTCCTTAGACATGCATTTCCTTTCCTCAGAATGTAGTGAGGGTGAGAAGCCAATCACTCAGCTTTCTCCTAGAATCTCCTTGAGAAAAAAAAAAATTGCAGCTTTAACCTGTGATTACTCAACTTCAAATTCCTGAGATAGAGTTTTTCAGACTTGTCAGTGTTTGGTCTTAGAGGGGGCTGGTTGCAGTTTCAACTCAGGCAGGGGTGTGGAATCCATTAATCACAGCAAGTATGAGATCTTATGGTTTATTTCTGCTTAGCCACCCTTCCTCCACTGCTATGTTTATGTCAAAACTTGGAGTGGGGAAGGTGAATTGCTCAGGTTATGTGCTCTATCCTTGCCTTTGTGGCTTTTCTAGACTCCAATTTGTCCCATCAGTTCATACTGCCACCCAAAGTTCAGCAGACAGCACTTTGTCCCCATAAAGTTTCTTATCCACAGCAGGCCGATCCTCCTCAGACCTCAGTAGGAAGCCTGGGAGCTGTCATCTCTCTTTCTTGCCTATGCTTGTTTCTTTCTGGAATTCAGTTCTCAAGGCTTTCTTCATGCTGCTGCCTGACCACGACCCCCACCCCAGTCTTTTAGAAAAGTACAATTTTAATTTTGTTTGAGTTTCTCTTGTTGTTCTCATGGGAACAAAGTCTTTCTCATGTTAATATAAAGCAGAACTCTCCTGTATCTGGCATTCTGCTACTTTCTTTTTCCAGTCAAAGTGTGTCATGGATTTTTTTCATGTGAACACAAATAGGTTTACCTTATAATTTAGAGCTTTAAACACTTATACTTTGTTTTTCAAACAGACGTAATGCCTTTTCATTATTGGTAGAGTACTAAAAGCACAATAAAAAATAAAAAAATCAAAGTTAATCATTAACTTTCCTTGTCTTCTTTTTTTAAAAAATTGAGGAATAACTTACATATGGCAAAATGCCCAAATCTCAATTGTATAGCTCAATAAATTTTAGATATATTTACACTGTGTGACCACTGCTCATATCGAGATATAGAACATTTCCATCATTATTCTTCCCAGTCAATATTGTCTCCCAGAGAAAACCATTATTTTCATTTCTAGCATCATGGTTTGGATTTTTCCGGTTCTTAAGTTTAATAATTGGAAGTGTGTAGTATGTACTCTACTGTGCCTGACTTCTTTTGCTCAAATAATGTCTGTGAGATTCATCCATACTGTCATGTGTCTCTATTGCTTATTCTTTTTATTGTTGTATACTATTCCATTGATGAATTACACTACAATTATTTCTCCATTAGCCAAGTGATAGACAATTGAGTTGCTTCAAGTTTTTGGCTTGTTATCAATGAAGTCGCTGTGAATTGTTGTTGGACATTTCACTGATTTTTCTAACTTTGCTTAGGGTGAAATGATTGTATCATGAAGAGATGTATATATAGCTTTAACAGAAATTGCCTATTTTCCCACATGATGGAATCACTTCGCATTCCAGGAGTGTATGAAAGTTCCAGTTGTTTCACGTCCTCACCACATTTGGTATTATCAGCCTTTTTAGAGTGCTGTCACTCTGTTGGGTATGTGATAGGGCCTCATAAAGTCTTAACTTGTACTTCCCTGATGCTCTCCCATTCTTTTTAGTGGCTGCATGTTATTCTCCAGTATGAATATGCTGGAATTTATTTAGCCATTCCCTGCTGATGGATATTATCTTTGTTTCTAGTTTTAATTCTTTAAAATACTGTTTCATTTCACACTTTTGACCCATACCTTTGGGTCCACATGCAGATATTTCTGGGTTCAGGTCTTAGGGTACTCAGCACTGCAGTGTAAGGCATGAGGGAGCAAGCATGTCATGTAGAGCCCCTCACAGCCTGCCCACAAGACCCCCGTCCAGTATTATGCTGGTTCTTCTCACATGACACCAACACTTTGAACCAGATGCTTCTGGAAAAGTGACGCCTTTCCCATGCTAAGTCCCGGACCACATGTTAAGCTGTGTTTCCATTATCTTGCTCCTTCAAAGGCTTTTTTTCTGGAATCGCCTCTTCTTTTGACATCAGCATGAATGGGATGCATTTCCCTGGTTTTCCTTTCTTGGCTGCCTTTTAGACAAGGCATTTTGAAGATAACAGTTTTACTGCCTGTCACTGCAGCAAAGCAGACCGGTGACGACAGAAACCGAGCGGAGGAAGTTTTATGGCTCCTAAGTCATCCTGGAGACCCCAGGCCTTGCAGTCACCCTCCGCAGCCCACACTGCCCTGGTCCTGGCCACTGAGGTGAAAATTATAAGCTTCCCCTCCTGGGGTTTCCTTTTTTCTTTGCTCACATCAGGAACATCTACATTCAGACCTGGGTGGACTCTTTCCTTTTTTAAAGTTCCTGATATTGAGAGAGCTTGAGTCCATCAAAACTCTGGACAGTTAGGAAAGACTTGCCATAACCACACATAACGGACAGGCCTGGCCTGGACACCATCCTGAAGCTCACCCTAGAGCGCGGACGCGTCCGCACAGGTGGACGGCGTGGTGCTCGGAATGCAGTCACCCTGGATTGCGGACACTGGCTCCTCAACTCTAGCCGCGTTTGTTTGGGTGGGCACCTTTGACCTCTCTGTGCCTCACTGCCTCATCTGCGACACATGGGAAGGCAGAGGATCCACTTCAGAAGGTGGCTGAACCAGGACATTGAGGCGTGTGAGGTAACAGCCTGCAACACCGTCCACACGGGTGTGGGTGATGCCATCACCCCCGATTCCCCAGAGGAGGGGGCAGACGCAGACGACTCCAAGCTGGGACCAACCACCTGCTCAGTGGAGTCATCAACACCGCCGGCTGTGGACCCGGTGCTGCGTTTGGATCCCGGCCCTGTGCCTCAGTTACCCCATGGGTCCAGTGAGAGCAGGCACAGCCTGTCTGGCCAGCCGCTGGGGACTACACAGCCCCAGCTGTGCAAACCGCCACCAGCGGGCCCAGGTGGCCCAAGCCAGGCGGTCACCAAGCAGCCCAGCAGGAGGCTCTGGACCAGAAAGAGGCTCCCACTCAGCTGGGAGGGTGAGGCAGGGGCAGCCCAAGGTGGATGAACATGGATGCCGCTGGAAGCCCCACATCACTGGAAATGCACATCCAGAGCCAAGCAGGAGCCAGGCCACCGTGCATCTAGCCTGTGATTGGTTTAGAGATGCACACGTGATGCCCCTCCAGCCAATGAGATGCAAGGACTAGGAGCCTGGGGGAATCTGGGAAGGGTTTCTCTTCGGGACCACAGCCTCAGCTCCGGGTCTGCGGCTGCTTATCGTGTGGTGTGTGCGGACTCCCCAGGCACTTGCTGTCTCGCTGCAGCCCCTGTCCCCGTGTGGTGGCACCCTCAGGACCCCAGGGGAACAAGCGTGGAAGCGGGAGCCCAGGCTCCGAGGGCGGGGTTTCTGGGGACGCCGAGGCTACTGAGTTCACCGCTGGCTGGAGCAGAACGGACGGCAGCAGCCAGAACCCCACCCTTGAGGGCCTTCGAGCTCTGGGGCCTGTTGCAGGTTTTGAAAGCTCCTCCTGCTCCAGGGTGAATGCCGAAGTGCTTTTCATTTTCCGGGAAGCTGGTTTGGGAGACATTGTTACATTGCAAGTATTGCCAATCCGAGTCCTCCAGAAAGGCCGCGAGGAAGCTCATCTCCCTCACGGAAGGAATGTTCGTGCGCAGCTGCGAGTGGCCCTCATCCTCCGCCATGTGGTGTTTGAACAAAGTGTTTTGTTTGGTTTTTGTAGCTTCCAGATCACGTAAGGAATGCTAACATCCCAGACCTGAGCCTGTGGGCTGCTTTTCCTCCAAGTCAATGGCAGCTAGCTGGGCCTGGGCTCTAGCCCAGATGGTGGGAGTGACTTGGTCTGGGTTGGGCCTGGCATCAGAATCTTTAAAGATTCTCCCACCTCCAAATTATGCATGTGAAGCCAGCAGAGGACCTCTGCTCTGAAAGCCTGCTCAGGTTGGGACTGAAGGCCACCTGGAGGAGATGGCCGACCATCGAGTCCAGGTGATGGCTCCAGGTCCCTTCCCGATTTGTGCCTGGAGTCTGCAGGGTCATTTCTGTGCCCCCAGTTAGTGGGAGGCAGCTTGACACATGGGAAGTCCATTGTGTGTCTGGGACTTCTTACCGTACTTGTCCCCTCAGTCTCCTGGAGTGGTTCAGACATCGCAAGCCTCAGCTCAGCCATCCTGTACGTGCTCTACCACAGGGAAGTCTGAACAGCACTATGGCAGCTGACCTCAGCCTTTTCCGCCACATTTGGGAACCATCTGGGAGAAGAGATCAAACGCAAGCCCTAGGGGAAACCTCAGATCCAACTGGCAAAAGATATATAAATATGCTGAACAGGAGACAGAACCCACAGAAAAGCAACATGAAGGCAAAAGTAGTGGGGATCTGACCTAGGAATGCTGTCTTAACAAAAAGCGCAGCAGTGGATGGCTGCAGCTCATATGCGTGGAGCAGCCTAGAGAGTGAGGCAGTTTTCATCCCCTCCTCACTTCATCTTTTTTTTTTTTTTTTTTTTTTTTTTTTTTTTTTTTTTGAGACAGAGTCTTGCTCTGTCGCCCAGGCTGGAGTGCAGTGGCACGATCTCAGCTCACTGCAAGCTCTGTCTCCCAGGTTCACGCCATTCTCCTGCCTCAGCCTCCTGAGTAGCTGGGACTACAGGCGCCCGCCATCACGCCCGGCTAATTTTTTGTATTTTTAGTAGAGACGGGGTTTCGCCGTGTTAGCCAGGATGGTCTTGATCTCCTGACCTCGTGATCTGCCCGCCTCGGCCTCCCAAAGTGCTGGGATTACAGGCGTGAGCCACCGCATCCAGCCTCACCTCATCTTATAGCCATGCGATAGACACTTTTATCCAGCTTTACACATTGTATTTAAATACTTCCCATCGTACTTACCACGCCCTTGGCACTGGTCTAAGTGCATTGCAAAGATCACTTGAACCCTCAGGACAGCATTCTGCCATGGGTGATGTTATTACTCCCACATCAGAGATGAGCAAATGGAGGCCCTGACGGCTGAGATCTGAGTCTATGCAGGTCAGCTCCAGAGCCTATGCTCTTAACCTCAGCACTGTGCCGCCTCTGGCACAGTAACAAGGACTAAAGCAAGGAAGCTGTCAAGTTCAAGTTCTGCTCTTCCTTCAAAGAGCCAGATACATTTGGCTTTGAGTCTAGGCATGTCAAAGTCCAGCGTTCTCCTGGGGTGGGGTGGGGGGGTCTTCTACTTCATGAAGACTCTCCTCCTGATTTCACGTCTTAGGACCAGGGTCTGTATGCTGTAGGCAGTCCTGCCCTATATTCACCTGGGTGCAGAACTCTACAATGTGGCACTCCTCAAAAGCTTTCTGCTACATGGGGTGCTGGCGGAGGGTATTCATGTTGTGAAACACTAAGATGTACCTGGACTTCTGAAGTCCACTTTGCTATCCCCCAGACTTAACCCCTCCACAGCCTCAGCATTTTCTCTTCCCTCCCACATTTCCCCTAGTGACTGTAAACTCTTCAGTTCATTGTAGGTACACCTATGCCAACTCCCTTTTCTGAAGTAGCCATAATGAGGAGAATGGGTGCCAACACTTTTGCCCTTCATCTCAGTACTTGTCGAATTTTTACAAAGAAAATGAGAGCTCTTTCCACCAAGACACCTCTGGTGAATGAAGCTCTCTTAATTTTGTGGTTAGAAAATGTTTCTGTCTCTACCCAACTGGAGAAGGAAAAGCACAGGACAAGGAGGGAGAAGGCTCCATGTTATAGCCCCACCATCCACTGCCTGAGGGCCTGGAGAAAGTCAAGTCACCTCCCCTAGTCCCAGTTTTCTCTTCAGTAATTTAGGGACCATAGCACCTACTCTGTACTTGTGAAGAATTGTCAGTGATTTCTGGTTTAGGGAGCTGGGTGAAGCCCCCTGTCTCACTACCCTCACACCCAAGGATATGAACCACAACGGTTTGAGCAAGAAAAGACAAACAGCAACAGCCTTTACTGTTGAAAGTGGAGGAAGGGAAATCAGCTCCTTGCATCAAAGCAGCACCTGCCTCCACTCTGCCTGGAAGCTGCAGTGGGAGAGGACAGAAGTCAGAGCCCAAGGGAATGCCCCCCTCTCTGCCCCCCAATGATTCCTCTAAAAGGAGAGGGCTGAAGGAGATGGGAAAGGAGGTGGGAATTTCAGAGGAATTGTGGCCTTTCTCACCTTACTTCCTCCTGCCCCCACCAGACCCATGGTGATTCCTTATGAATTAGGGCTGGGGTTGCCAGCTTGGAAAGCCAAGTCTCAACAACTTTTAGATAGTCTCGGAAGAAAATGACATAAATCCTTATGAGGTGAAGTTGACAAATCAGGAGGTTTGGGGAAAGGAGTGTAAGTGTATTAGAATACTGGTCTTTCACAGTGGGAAGGCACAGATAGTTTCTAAGTTGGAAAAACATCAAGAAGTAACAGTTCTAAAGGGAGCCATAGGAAGAACTAAAATAAAAATGAGAATGAATTGGCTGGGCACGGTGGCTTAACGCCTGTAATCCCAGCACTTTGGGAAGCTGAGGCCAGCAGATTGCCTGAGCTCAGGAGTTCAAGACCAGCCTGGGCAACATGATGAAACCCCATCTCTACTAAAATACAAAAAATTAGCCCAGAGTGGCAGCGTGCACCTGTAGTCCAAGCCACTTGGGAGGCTGGGGGAGGGGAATTGCTTAACACGGAGGCAGAGGTTGCAGTGAGCCAGGATCGTGCCACTGCACTCTAGCCTGGGCAACAGAGCAGGACTCTGTCCAAAAAAAAAAAATTATAATCAGGAAAGATCAGAAAGTAGGTAAGAGGAGGAGAGGTGAGAAAAGTAGGTAAGAGAAGGTCTGCTGCTTTTCTTATCTTTTAACGTATATGTTCAATAGACATTGTCTAAAGTGCTAAATCTACAAAAAGAGTGTTGGGGTGTTTTATGGACTGAATGCTTGTGCCTCCTCCTCTCTCAAATTTGTATGTTGAAGCCCTAACTTCCAGTGTGGCCGTATTTAAAACAGGAAGTAATTGAGGTTAAATGAGGTCATAAGGGTCAGGCACTGATCTGATAGGAGCAGTGTCCTTAGAGACACCAAATATTTTTCTATACCCTCACAATCTCCTTCCATGTGTGAACCTGGCAAGAGAGCCACTGTTTTCAAGCCAGGAAGAGATCCTCCCCTATACCAGAAATCACCTATGCTGGCACCTTGATGTACTTCCAGTCTCCGGAACTGTGAGAGAAAGTAAATTTCTGTTGTTTAAGTCACCCAGTCTGTGGTACTTTGTTATTGTAGCCCAGGGAGACTAATATAGGGTATAATATATGAAAGAAAAAAGTGGAATAATTGAACAGTGTAACCCTTTCAGATCACCATAAGGAAAACATCCCACTTCTGAAAGAAGTTCATACAGTGAGAGTTAGAAAATAAAACATTATAAATAGAAAATGTAAAATGCTGGCATTAAAACAAAATGTGTCAAATGCAAATTAAATATACTTACCTATTGAAAGATGTAGTAAAGTCCAAGTAAATAAGAAATTCATCCACAACAAAGTGATTCAGAAAGGGCACATTAAAACCTAGAGAAACAAAGGCAGATTAAATTCAAGACATAAATTATGAAGTGAGTTAAAACAGCACTGTATATTGATCATGATTTTTTTTTTTTCTGAGACAAGGTCTCACTCGCATCACCCAGGGTGGAGTGTAGTGGTGCAATCATGGCTCACTACAACCTCAACTTCCCAGGATCATGTGATTCTCCCACCTCAGCCTCCAGAGTAGCTGTTACTACAAGTGTGTACCACCACGCTCTGCTAATTTTTTGTATTTTTAATACAGACGGTTTCACCATGTTGTCCAGGCTGGTCTTGAGCTCCTGGGTTCAAGCAGCCTCCCAAAGTGTTGGGATTACAGTCCTGAACCACCTTGCTCAGCCAACCATGAAATCTTAATGCACCAAATAACATAGCAATAAAACCACATGGAACAGACTTCCTCTCTGGGACCTGGCGTAGATATGCTTTTCCCTATTCCTCCTGCCAAGTACAACAAAAAGACCCTGAAAATTATATGTGAAACAAATAGAAAAATATTCTGAAAGGTGGAGCAAAGAAGGCAGATCTGCTAGGAACACGGGAATTTGAAGAATGATATGGTGTTGAGCTCCCTGGGTTTTCCTTTTCCCTTGTATATCCCAGATATGGAGCTGAAGAAGCTGGAAACCTAGAAACACCAAAGGGCAGACAAAAATATCCCTAATAAGAGTTTACTGTTTCTAGCCAGAGGACCAGGATAGGAACAACCTAGGAAGACAGAAACTTTGTGGCCTCACCCTCACCTATGCAAGCAAAGCCCAAGTTGGGGAGCCTAAATTTTCATGCTCATGAGAATGATGTCACATGCCAAGTAGAGCATGAGAATGATGTCACATGCCAAGTAGAGAGCCAGTATTTCTATCCCCACCAGTTGATCATAAGGCATGACACCCCACACCTCACAGTTCAGTGGAAACCACAAACAACCTAAACCTCCACTCCTACTCAGCAGTAATAAAGTAAGCCTTTACCTCCCCAGTGGGGTGAGGTGGAGGAGGCTTAGTGAGGAGTTAAGACCTCCACCATGACTCAACAGTAATGAGGCTTCCCCTAGAGTGGAATCAGTGGAGACCACATGGTGAGCCAGAAATCCTGCCACCATCCAGAAGTAACAAGTTACCCCCTTCCTCTTGGGTATCAATACAGGCCTTAGTGGGAGCCTGGATTTCTGCTTCCACCTGGCAGTAACAAGGTAGTGCCTCCCTCCCTCCCTTTGCTAGACCAGTGTCAAAGAAAGCCAGCTAAAACAAGTTTTTAAATGAGATCCAGAGTCTCATAACATAGTATAAAAATGTCCAGGTTTCAATAAAAAATTACTAACCATACCAAGAACCAGGAAGATTTCAAACTGAATGAAAAAGACAGCCAAAAATGTCAGTGCTGAGATGACAGATACTAAAATTATCTAACAAAGGGTTTAAAATAGTGATGATAAGACCGCCTCAACAAACAATTACAAACATTCTTGAAACAAATGAAAAAAAAATAGCCTCAACAAAGCAATGGAATAGAAAGTCCTATCAAATAAATAGAAGATGTAAAGAAGAATCAAATGGAAATTTTATAATTGAAAACTATAGTAACCAAAATAAAAAGCTCAGTAGATGGTTCAAGAGAAGAATGAAGCAGCTACTTGAGAGGCTGAGGAAGGAGAATCACTTGAACCTGGGAGGCGGAGGTTGCAATGAGTCGAGATCGTGCCACTGCACTCCAACCTGGATGAAAGAGCGAGACTCTGTCTCGAATAAAAAAAAAAATTAAAAAAGGAGAAGAATGAAGGAAACAAAGAATAGTGAACTGGAAGATAATATAAATTATCCAATCTGAATAACAAGAGAAGAATAGAGCCTTAGGACCTGTGGGACTGACTGAAGATCTGACATGCATGCCACCAGGGTCTCACAAGGAAAGAAGCAAGAGAGGGCAGAGCTGAAAGAGTACTCAGTTTTGCACAAAGATGCAAAAACAATTCAGTGGAGGAAAACTGCTTTTCAACAGATGGTACTGGAGTAATTGGATGTCCATAAGCAAAAATACGAAACTTGACCTAAGCCACAACTTATATAAAAATTAATTCAAAATGGGTTGTGGAACCAGATGAAAAATATAAAAGTATAAAACTTTTGGAAACATAGAAAATTTTTTCAGGATCTAGTGCTAGACAAAGTATTCTTAGACTTGACACCAAAATACAATACATAAAAGGAAAAAAAATTATACATTATACTTTATTTTATCAAAATTGAAAAGTTTTGCTCAGTGAAAGAGTCTATTAGGATAAAAAGACTACAGAATTATAGAGAATATTTGCAAATCACTTATCTGACAAAGGACTAGTATTAGAATATATAAAGAACTCTCAAAACTCAACAGAAAGAATCAATTCAATTAGGAACTGGGCAAAATACATGAAGAAATATTTCACTACAGAAAATGTATCAATTGCAAATAGTCACATGAGAACGTGTCAACATTATTATCCATCAGGGAAATGCAAATCGAAACCATGAGATATCATTACTCATCTATCAGAATGGTTAAAATAAAGGCTATAATCAATGCCAAATTCTGACAAGAATGTGGAGAAATTGGATCAACATAATGCTAGAGGGAATGATACAGCCACTCTAGAAAATAATTTGGAAGTTTTAAAAAAAACTAACCATACAACTACCATATGACCCAACATTTGTACTCCTGGGATTTTATCCCAAAGAAATGAAGATTTATGTTCATACAAAAACCTGTACACAAATGCTTATAGTGGCTTTATCCATAATAGGTAAAAACTGGAAACAACCTAGATATCCTTCAGCAGATGAATGGTTAAACAAATTGTGGTACATTCATACCATGAAAGACTACTCAGCAATAAAAAGAAATGAACTATTAATACTTGAAATAGCCTGGATAAATTTTCAGAGAATTATGAACTATTGATACTTGAAATAACATGGATAAATTTTCAAAGAGTTATGCTGAGTGAAAAAATCCATCCAAAAAGATCAGATAGTATGATTCCATTCATATAACAGTTTTGAAATGATGAAATTATAGAGATGGACTATAGATTAGTGGTTGCCAGTAGTGGAGGGGATTGAGGTGGGAGAAAAGTGGGTATGGCTACAAAAGGGCCACACAGAGGATCCTCGTGGTGATGGAATTGTTCTTTATCATGGTCCTGTTGATGTCAATATCCTGTTTGTGCCATTGTACTATAGGTTTGCAAGATGCTAACGTTGGGGGAAACTGGGTAAAGGGTATACAGAATCTTTCTGTATTGTTTCTTACAACTGCATGGAAATCTACAATTATCTCAGAACAAAACATTAAAAAATTTGTAAATAAATGAACATTACAAGATGGTTTAAGTTCTGAAAATCAACTACTGTAATTCACCATATTAACAAACTAGAAAAGAGAAAAATTGTGATTATTTCAAAAGATGCAGAAAAAGCATTTGATAAAATCCAGTATCTGTTCTTTATTAAAATAAAAAAAAACCCTAACTCTGAACAAACACAAAATAGAAGGGAAGTACCTCAACTTGTTAAAGTGCATCTCTGAAAAACCTGTAGCTAACATTATGCTTAGTGGGAAACTCTAAGATCGGGACAAGGATGGCCACTTTCACTGCTTCTTTTTAATATTGGAATAGGGGTTCTAGCCAGTGCAACAAGGTGGAAAAAGAAATGAGTCATCTAAGGTGGAATAACAGAAGTAAAACTGTCTTTATTTATAGACAATATGATCATCTATATAGAAAGCCCAATGGAATCTTTTTAAAGCTGCTACAAATAATAAGTTTAGCGGTGTTGCAGGACACAAGCTCAAAATCCAAAAATCAATTGTATTTCTATCTGTTATTAACAAATACTTATAAATTGAAATTTAAAATTACCATTTACAATATTGACATAAAATATGATCTGCTTAGGGTATAAATCTATACAAATATAAGCAAAACCTATACACTGAAACTTATAAAACATTGCTGAGATAAATAAGATCCAAATAAATGGAGAATTATACTGTTGCTGTGGTCTGCATGTTTGTCTGTAAGGTGACTGGATTGGTTCTGGATGAATGCACCAGTTCCTGAGAGAGTGGGTGGCTATAAAGTCAGGATGCACATCAGGGTTGGTTCCCCTTTGCATGTGCTCGCTTCCTTTCTGACCTTCTCCACCATGTTCTAAAGCTGTACAAAAGAAGCTGAGCAGATTCCATCTCTATACTCCTTATACATCCTTCAGAACCATGACCTAAATAAACTTCTTTCTTTTATAAATTACCCAGCCTCAGATATCCCTTTATAACAACACAGAATGAACTAAGTCAACTGTGTCCATCGTTACTGTTAAGTGGTCAGTTATCCCCAAAGTGGTCTGCTGATTCAATCAAAATTCCAACAGGCTATTTTATAAAAATTGACAAGCTGATTTTAAATTCATATGGGAATTCAAGTGACCTAGAATAGCCAAAACAACTTTGAAAAAGGACAACAGCATTGGAAAATTAACACTCTGTAATTTCAAGACTTGTAAAGCCACAGTAATCAGGACAGTGTAATATTGGCATAAGATAGACAAATAGATCAATGGAGCAGCATAGAGTCCAGAAATAAATCCTAATGTATATTCACAACTAATTTTTTTAACCAGGGAGCTAATAAAAATCAGCAAAGAAATGATAGTTTTTTCAACAAACGGTGCTGGAACAATTGGACATCCACTTGAAAAAAGATGAACTTGGATCCATATCTTGTACCATATGCAATTATTAATTCAAAACAGAGCATTTAAAACCTGAAACTATGAAACTTACAGAGGAAAATATTGGGCTTGGCAAAGAGCTCTTACATATATGAAAAGCAGGATTCATTAAACAAAAAGATGAGATGGACTTCATCAAAATTAAAAACTTCTGTTCTTTGAAATACATTGTTATGAGAATGAAAACAAGGTTGGCAAAAAAACTATTGAAATCATGCATCTGACTAAAGTCACTTTTCTAGAACATAATTAAAAACTCTCAAAACCCAATAGTAAGAAAACTAACAATGTTTTTAAATGGGCAAGTGATTTAAAGAGACACTTAACAAAAAAAAATATGGATGGCAAATAAGCACATGACAAATTCTCAACAGCATTAGTAATTAGGGAGATACAAATGAAAGCACAGCGAGACACCACTACACATCTGTGAGAGTGGCTGAAATTTAAAGGACTGATCCGACCAAGCGTTGCTGAGGGTGTGAAGCAGTGCTCATACACTGCTGATGAGGAGGTTAAATGGTAGCATCACTTTGGAAACAATTTGGCTATTTCTTAAAAAGTTAATAGTAACTACCATATAACACAGCCATTCCACTGTTAGGTATTTACCCA
This sequence comes from Homo sapiens, assembly GCF_000001405.40. Taxonomy (NCBI): domain Eukaryota; kingdom Metazoa; phylum Chordata; class Mammalia; order Primates; family Hominidae; genus Homo; species Homo sapiens. Next base: position 46,012,864 of record NC_000021.9, on the reverse strand, counting down.
AAGAAATGAAAGTATGTGTCCACACAAGGACTATGTACAATGTTCATAGCTATGGGAGTGTGAAGAAATAAACATGGCAGTGCACCATCAGTAAAACTCGATTTTTTCAAACTTTGTTAGGGGGGTGTCAGTAATTTAGTAACATTTATCACTTTTTTTCCCAAGAGAAACTTAGTCTGCAGCTTGTGTGAGGTCCTGTGTTTTCCTCCTACATTTTAGAACATTCTGGGTTACTCTGGATATTCAGAAAACAATAGACATGGAACTGCTGTAAAAATACACACCAAAATATGTTAGTTATGTGTTAGAATTTTTACTTTACACACCCCATTTTCTTACTTAAGTGGTATTAGCAAATTTATTCCAAATGGAACCTTTGTTAAAAACATTGTGGCCATTGCACATTTGCAAAGTTGCTTATTGAAACTACTAAACAAAAGCTAATCCCGTCGCTGAGTGGAGTCAGTATTATTTTATTCCTAAATACTTCAGTATGTGTTTCCTAAAAACAAGAACATTCTCTTACATAACCACATACAGTGCTCAAAATCAGGAATTTAACATTGATACCACTGATACAATGCCATCATCCAATTCACAGACATATTAAAATTCCGATGATTGTCAGAATGATGTTCTTGGTGGCCTAATCACCAAGTGATTTCCTATAAGAAGGGGAAAAAAATCTTAGAAGATTACTGTAACACCGGACCCAAACACTGAAAAACCTGAAAGAAAAGACAGTTTTATATGACTGACTGAAATTAACTAAGTAAATATAGAAAATCTAAGCAGACACATTCACATACAAAAATCAGAACTGCTCCCTTCGATCCCTGACCCCAAATCACCAGGCTTCCACGATTTCAAAGGTGCTAATTATATAATCATCTCCATCTATGAAAAACAAGATTTATTTCCTCATTTTTATGGACAAATAGAAACAGTGTCTTAGTGGGACACACTTTTGGCGTTTCTGCCAAAGTCAGGAACAAGAACAGGCTGCACACTATTGTTACCCCCACTTTTGGAGGCAGACATCCTCACATGCAGTCACACACGCACACACATGCACACATACGTACACATGTACACACACGCACAAACGTACACACACGCACACACATGCACACACGTGCACACGCACACACATGCACACACCCCCCCTTGGAGAGGTCACTCCCGTGAAGAGGTCACTCCCCCGGAGAGGTCACTCCCGTGAAGAGGTCACTCCCCCGGAGAGGTCACTCCCGTGAGGAGGTCACTCCCCCGGAGAGGTCACTCCCGTGAGGAGGTCACTCCCTTGGAGAGGTCACTCTGTGAAGAGGTCACTCCCTTGGAGGTGTTTGCTCCTGCCCTGTCCTCTCCAAGGAAGAGAATGAAGATCAGCAGGAGGCCCCCTAAGCCCAGGATGGACCAAACTGCCTGGGGTCCAGACCCTGCTGCTCCTGCGCGGGTCTGTGTGTGGGGCCAGTCGGTCCTGGGGCTGACAGGAGGAGGGAAGGTGTCACTTCCCCAGGAGACCTATGGGAAGGGATGGTCGACGTGCAAACCAGCCATCAAAGGAGCTGCCCCCACTCCGCGTGGAAGAAAGGAGGGGCACCCACCTTGGGTGAATGGTGGCTCCATTCCAGGAGCAAGGGGTTGGGGGAGGGAGGGAAAAGTCTACTAGAAATATGGGAAGAGCTCACAGGGTTGGGGATAAAGATGAGGCGTATTCATTCTAACACAACCGTGTATTGAAGCAGTGCCTCAGAGCTGCACCAACGTGCCATCTCGCCGGCTCTGTGGTCAGACGCCTGGTCACGGCTCAGCTGGGGCCTGTGCTGGGGTCTCAGCGGCACCAACGTGCCATCTCGCCGGCTCTGTGGTCAGACGCCTGGTCACGGCTCAGCTGGGGCCTGTGCTGGGGTCTCAGCGGCACCAACGTGCCATCTCGCCTGCTCTGTGGTCAGACGCCTGGTCACGGCTCAGCTGGGGCCTGTGCTGGGGTCTCAGCGGCACCAACGTGCCATCTCGCCGGCTCTGTGGTCAGACGCCTGGTCACGGCTCAGCTGGGGCCTGTGCTGGGGTCTCAGCGGCACCAACGTGCCATCTCGCCGGCTCTGTGGTCAGACGCCTGGTCACGGCTCAGCTGGGGCCTGTGCTGGGGTCTCAGCGGCACCAACGTGCCATCTCGCCTGCTCTGTGGTCAGATGTCTGGTCACGGCTCAGCTGGGGCCTGTGCTGGGGTCTCAGCGGCACCAACGTGCCATCTCGCCGGCTCTGTGGTCAGACGCCTGGTCGCGGCTCAGCTGGGGCCTGTGCTGGGGTCTCACAGCTGAAATCAATGCGTCGACACCTCACTGGAGGCTCAGCCTCCTGTTTCAAGCTGGCTGGGTGGGGGCGGAACTGCTCCCAGTCCACTCACCAACCGAAGCTGCTGTGAACATCCGTGCGCGTCTCTCCGGACTTGCGCATGAGTTCTGTGTTTCACCTATCTGGGCAAACGCTCAGGAGCTTGGCTGAGGTGGGCAAGTGCGTACTGGGCTTTGAGAAACGGAGGGGAGATTCTAAAGCAGCTGCACCCCACAGCCCGCAAGAGGGCTGCAGTCACCCCACATCCTTGCAGACTACCGGCGCTGGTGCTGCCAGTCCAGCTTCAGCCTTTTAGGGGTGTGAGGGGGCGTCTCTCACAGTTTAACTCATGTCCCTGAGGCGACACCGCACCCTCACTCAAGATGTGGTCCCCAGCCTGCAGGGCCTGAGGCATCACCACCTGGAGCTGCGAGAAGGAGAGGGACATGGTCTGCAACCTGTGTGGGGAGCGCTGCCATCTAGAAGCTGTCTCTGCAGAAAGTGCTGGCGGACCAGCCAGCGCGGAGGGTGGGAGGACACCTGTGCTCAGTCATTTCACCAACCCGGAGGTCTCCCTCGGGCGGGCGTCAGGGAACCGCACAGGCAAACTGACCTTGGATGGAATGGAAACAACCCCTCCACATGCTTCCATAATCGTAGCATAAAAAATGCGTTGAAAAGGCCAAATATCATTTGTCTGAAATATGAATGTGTTTAACTTTTCCATAAAGAGCAAAGATGATTGGATTGGGTTTGGAAACGTGAGTACTGCTGTCTGCAAACATGCGTGGAAGACAACACATCTCGAAAGATTAAAAGTGGAACATAACAAGGAGAAACAAAATCCAAGAAAGGAAAGTGAGGACCCCAGCACTGGTGCTGTCCAGGAAAGGGTCACAGCAAAGCCACAGCTGAGGTCGTTTGTCATCGTTGCGCGGCGTTGGGCTATCGTAGCTGCAGTGGCAGGAGGAAAAACAAAAGTGGCCTCAGGCCTCCGTCCACCCCCAACCCCCGGTGATGGATGGTGGTTAGGATGGCACTCAGCTACAGGGGTCCCGAGGTGGGCAAATAGGCCCTGTATGTCCCCAGCTCAGGCTGTTGGATCTAGGGTAGCTTTTGAGGTGGGCGGGTGGGGCTGGCCTCACAGGGGAGCTGGTGGAGGCTGGCAGCGGGCGCTGGGGAGACACCTGGGACCCCCACAGTCTGCTAGGCCCCAAAGCCCCCTCAGACCCCCTGGGTCCCTGTCCCCTTGAGGACCCTTCCTGGGAGGGAACTGCAGCCAGAGGCTCCCAAGGAGAGAGCGCAGGCCTGGCACTGCCCCCACGGTTCTGGATCAGGATTGATGGTTGCAGGGGAAGACCCTCCTGACAGGCCTGAGATCCCGGGGCTCTGTGCCTCCTGCCAACCCCCTGCCTTCTTGAGGCCAGTGGGTCCCAGCTCCTCCTGCACCAGGACAGGAGGGGCCAGGAAGAGGCAGGAGCCTGCTCTGACCTAGGAGTCAAGGAGCCATGCTGTGGATGGTCCAGGAAGGACTGGGGTCTCTGACCACTCAGAGTATCAGGGTGACAGGCTTTGCCCTCCTATCTGGAGACTTCGTGTGATGATCTGAAACACCACTCAGAGCATCAGGGTGACTGGCTTTGCCCTCCTATCTGGAGACTTGGTGTGATGATCTGAAACATCACTTTTCTAAACTGGGAACAAGTGTGGGCCTGATGGGCTAAGGTTTCTTTCCTATTTTTTCAAAGTTGAGCTGTTCTGTGTGGGGAACGTCCAGAACAAAAGGGGGTCCTAGCCTCTCCTCCTGACCTGGGAGGCCACAGGTGAGAAGCACAGTGCGGCCACCAGCTTGGAGGATGGTTCAGGGATCAAGGCACTTCCCTTCTTGAAGCAGGTGATACTGTTCGGCTCCGTGTCCCCACCCACATCTCATCTCAAATTGTAATCCCCACGTGTTGAGGGAGGGAGGTGGCTGGATCCCGGGGGTGGCCTCCCCCGTGCTGTCCTTGTGATAGTGAGTGAGTTCACATGTGATCTGATGGCTTTATAAGTGTTTGGAAGTTCCTCCTTCATGCTTCTCTCTCCTGCTGCCATGTGAAGAAGGACGTGTTTGCTTCCCCTTCTGCCGTGATTGTAAATTTCCTGAGGACTCCCCAGCCATCTGGAACTGTGAGTCAATGGAATCTCTTTTCGTTATAAATCACCCAGTCTTGGCCACGCACGGTGGCTCACGCCTGTAATTCCAGCACTTTGGGAGGCCGAGGTGGGAGGATCACGAGGTCAGGAGATCGAGACCATCCTGGCTAACACGGTGAAACCCTGTCTCTACTAAAAATAAAAAAAAAAAAATTAGCCAGGCATGGTGGCGGGCGCCTGTAATCCAGCTACTTGGGAGGCTGAGGCAGGAGAATGGCGTGAACCCGGGAGGCGGAGCTTGCAGTGAGCCTAGATCGCGCCACTGCACTCCAGCCTGGGCAACAGAGCAAGACTCTGTCTCAAAAAAAAAAAAAACAAAAAACAAAAAAAATCACCCAGTCTTGGGCAGTTCTTTAGAGCAGTGTGAGAATGGCCGAATGCACGGGGAAACTCACATTCGTGGCTTCTCACATCCCTTCAGGAAGAGGGTCTTGGGCACACACTGGACACAGCAGCCCTAAGGCCCCTTGGCTGAGGTGTTTTAGTACCAAATCCAGAGCCTTGGGCTGGTCCTCTTGGGTTGACCTAGTTGGATCTGGCCTGCGCCAGCCCATCCAGGCCTGATTTGCTCCTGACCCTGAAGCCCAGGGTGTCGGAGCCCCAGCTCCTGGGAGGAGTGGGAAGGAGAGGGAGAGATGTGGGTGGCCAGAGAGCCCCCAAGGGATTCCAGTGGGGATGCAGGGGCTCAGCCAGCATCGCCATCCCAACACACAGGGTGCTTGGGGATGAACCAAGGCTGGGACCTGATGGTGGGGTCTCCGTGCCTGGGAGGCAAGGGTGGCTGTGATAGGGCAGGGGGCTGTTGCAGGGGGTTGCCCAGAGTCCTGCCAGCCTGAAAAAAGTAGTTTTGCTGTTGAATTGTCTGATTATTTGGGGCCGAGGGGCCTCCAGGCCTGAGGCAGGACGTGCACATGGGAGCTGGGGCCTGGGGGCCACGGAGCAGGGGCCGCAGGGGCTGAGGCTGTGCCACGGGTGTCCGGAGCCTGGCCAGGTGTCAGTCCAGTGGGAGGTGTGGGGGCCACGGTGACCGGCCGTGGGAGTGTGTGTCCCTCCTGTGCCTCAGTTTCTACAAGATGAGAGGCCGGGACCTTGGAGTCTGCCCCCACAGGAAGTGTGAGGTGCAGTGTGAGACCAGGAGCTTCCCTGGGCCCCGTGGGGGTCTGCGTGGTGGCTGGGGGTTCTGCATGGCAACCCGGGCCTTGGTAACCCCCACCGCCCCTCCTGCCTGGAATCCTGGTGACCCAGGCGTTGGGGGATGGGAATGCCCGCAGGTGAGGATGGGTTGAGGTTCAGGAGAAACCCCGCCGGGACTTGGGAACAGGGGCCCCACCTCAAGGCCCCCCTGAACCCAGTGTGCAGCCCAGGGGTGACCCGGAGAGGTCCGTGAAGGACGGGCGCAGAGGAAGGGGGTCCCATAGAGAGCACTTGGGAGAGACCCTCTCACCAGGGTCCCTGGGCCTCCTCCAGGACAGGCCGCTCCCCTCTGGTCGCCCCAGCCTCCTCCCAGCCCCTGCCAGGCATGGGCCGCCGGCCGTGTGGGCACGAGGGGCCTGGGCCTCGCCACAACCCTCTCAGGTGGGTGCCATGGAGTCCTTCACCCAGCTTACAGGGGAGGAAGCCGGGACGAGGGCTCAGGGCCGGCTCGGGGTCACCTGGCCGTATACAGCGCAAAGCAACTGGGATGGGGAAGAGCGGGCCTGGGCCGGAGCTGTGTGGGGGCTGGGGCTGGAGGAAGCCTCTCCGAGGACCTTGCAGGGTAGCCTGGGCACGGGGAGGCTCCACGCAGAGTGTGGGCCTCAGCGCCGTGAGGGACCGTCCCGCTGGCCAAGTCCAGCCCTTGTCGCGCCAGGGCCGCAGCTGCAGTGCGAATCCCATGAGGCAGCTGAGAGAGGCTGGCAACTGCCTCACTGCGTCTGCCCCGGGCCCCGCCCACCGCCTCACTGCGTCTGCCCCGGGCCCCGCCCACCGCCTCACTGCGTCTGCCCCGGGCCCCTCCCACCGCCTCACTGCATCTGCCCCGGGCCCCGCCCACCGCCTCACTGCATCTGCCCCGGGCCCCGCCCACCGCCTCACTGCGTCTGCCCCGGGCCCCGCCCACCACCCGTTGCCTCTGACCCGGGCCCCGCCCACCGCCTCACTGCGTCTGCCCCGGGCCCCTCCCACCGCCTCACTGCGTCTGCCCCGGGCCCCGCCCACCACCTCACTGCGTCTGCCCCGGGCCCCGCCCACCACCTACTGCGACTACCCCGGGCCCCGCCCACCGCCTCACTGCGTCTGCCCCGGGCCCCGGCCACCACCCGCTGCCTCTGCCCCGGGCCCCGCCCACCGCCTCACTGCGTCTGCCCCGGGCCCCGCCCACCGCTCGCTGCCTCTGCCCCGGGCCCCGCCCACCGCCTCACTGCATCTGCCCCGGGCCCCGCCCACCGCCTCACTGCGTCTGCCCCGGGCCCGTCTCTACCTGCAGTTCTGTGAGGGGCGCTTGTTCGCCACCTGAAACGGAAATGCAGGGTCCCCAGCATTTTCCCGCAGCTCTGGTGGCCACATGGTGTGACGCATCGAGCGAGGCGTGTCCCTGCCTGTGGCACCTGAGGGGCTCGCCGGGGTCCCCGCAGGTGAAGGCCTTCAGGAAGCCCCACCCTCACCCTCGCCGCCCATCCCTGCTGCCCTCCTCCAGCCCAGCCCTCGGCCGATCCTCTTAGTCCCCTAGCGGCCCCCAGAACAGCCGTGCACCCCGGATTCTGGGATTCAGGGGCCACTAACTTCTTTCTTTTGAGGATGAGCCCTCGCTGCCTCTGCCCTCCGCCCTCTTCTTGCTCTGCCCCAAAGGTGGAGCCTCCCAAGACTTCTTCCTCTGCCCCAAAGGTGGAGCCTCCCAAGACTTCTTCCTATGGGCCCTGCAGTATCTCAACTCCCCTTCCGAGCTCCCAGGGGTATTTCAGTACCAAGCCTAGAACCTGTGGCCGGCCTCTGTGGTTGACCTCGGTGGATGTGGCCGGCCCCAGCCCACTGAGGCCTGATCTGCTCCCGACCCCAAAGCCCAGGGTGTTGCCTTCTCAGCTCCTCTCTGTCCACAGGTGCAGCATGGTCTCCATGTCACCGACGCAGACGCAGATAAGGGGCATGGATGGACAGCTGTAGCCAAGGGCAGCCCTGGTTCTGGCCTGGGACTGGTGGTGATGGGGGTTGGGAGTGAGCACGCACGCACACGCCCCCCAACCTCCTGTGACTGCTCCTTTGGGGCACACGGCAGGATTTTACTTTGTGGGGAAGATAACCACAGGGAGAGGAGTGAAAACCTTTATTTGGAAAAGTCAGCAACATGGATATGGTTCAGAAAAAAACACAGAAGGAGCAAAACTAACATGAACATAGAAAGGGGGCCTTTGATAAAACGTCGAACACATCACTATTCTGAGGAAGGAGAGGTTTGCGTTGTTTCTAGTAAGACACAGCCCTCTGTGGCACCAAGGGGCTCTCATGTCCAGTCCAGGCCCCAGTCTCTGCGGGAGGGAGGAGCAGACGGGGTTAGCACCGTTAATCTCGAGGGTCTTGAGTGCAGCCAGCGCCCCTGCGAGTACTCTCTGAGGTCGGGGTCAGTGCTGGTCAGCAGCGGCCTCCAGGGCTGTAGGGCCAAGGTCCAGGCCGGTCACCAGCAGGACCCTCAGGAGACGGGGCCGAGTCGCCGAGATTTATGTCTGCAACGGCCTCCTGACCTTGGTTTCCCAAAACGAGACAGAGGCCAATGGCTGCCCCAAGCTGAGGAGAAGAGCTTGCTTTGAGTTTAATTGTAAAGTAACTGTTAGGTGAGGATTGGTGGGAAAAACCAGCTATGGGGACAGAGGAGAGGGAGGCTAGTGCGGCACAGGCCCCGAGAGGGCGTCTTGCTCAGGCTGGTGGGATGCAGCACAGAGGTGCCTAGGGAAGGAGCTGCGCAGGCAGGAGGGAGGGCGGGCAGGAGGGCAGGGCAGGAGAGCCCGGGGTGGGGAACCCAGGTGAGGCCAGCTCAGGGCTGAGCCCCAGAGGGCCCTGCACAGGTGACGCCAGCTCAGGGCTGAGCCTCAGAGGGCCCTGTGCAGGTGACACTAGCTCAGGGCTGAGCCCCAGAGGGCCCTGCGCAGGTGATGCCAACTCAGGGCTGAGCCCCGGAGGACCCTGCACAAAGCAGGCAGCAGCGTTGTGTCCTGGCTTTCCAAGCTTTTCCTTAAAAAAAATCTAGCGAATCAGGTTGGTCGGGAAAATTCGCATCACATTTTACTCTGTTTAGTGATGAGTGGGGAGGGGTGGGAGGACAGGGTTTGGTGCCGGCGTGCAGGGTGGGCTAGCCCAGCGCCACCTTCCTGGAGACTGTCTGGTGGAAGACACCGCGGAGCAGGGCCTGGTAGCTGGGGACACGGAACAGGTGGCTCTCGCCGTAGGCCACGTCGTACTCGGCCGTCTTGCCGGTGACCAGGACGCGGATGTGGGGCTCATTCACCTGGCGGCCCACGACCACCACGAAGATCTCGATGCCTGCCCGCTGGGCTTCCTGCACGGCCTTCTCGATGGCAGCGGGCGTGGCGCCCTGCGAGTTGCCATCTGAGAAGAGCAGCAGCCTCTTCTTGGCAGCGCCGGACGAGGCCTCGCGGTAGAAGCGGGTCACATAGCCCAGGGCATCGTTGACGTCGGTGGCGTCGTTGATAAAGTCCATGGCATCGACGGCACTGGCCAGGGCCGTGTAGTTCTGCAGGAACTGCAGCGACGCCCGCTCTGGGCGCTGCTGGCCCGTGCCGCTGTACTGCACCACCGCCACCCGCACGTCGTGGGCGGGGTCCGTCCTGCCCGCTGTGAGGAAGCGCTCGGCCAGGCGCTTGGCGAAGCGCTTGGTGGTGTCAAAGTTGTGGCTGCCCACGCTGGCGGAGCCGTCCAGCAGGATGGTGATGTCAGCCGGGGAGGAGAACGTGACTGCGGGGCGGGGTGGGCAGCCGTTAGCATGAGGCCCTGGTGATGCAGCCGCAGTGGGCCGGCCAGAGAGCGTCTAAGCTCCCCAGAGAGGGCACGGCACGGTGGTGCTCAGCCACCGGAGTGAGCCATGCACCTACTCTCGTGACCGCCAGGCCCTCCTCCCAGAGCCCCGTCCTCTCAGAGCCCTCGCCCCAACCACGGTGCCCTCCTCCCCACGTGTCCCGGCCGCCGAGGTACTCACTGGGGCAGGTGTAATCTGGACACTTCTTGTCTGTAAAAGAGAAAAGCCGTGCAGTGTGAGCCCACTGCTCCACCTATAACCCCGCAAGGAGATGTCACAGGACCTCCCGGCCGAGCACAGGGGTGGCCGTGCCCCCGGAAGTCACAGCGAGCCGGGAGGAGGATGCCTGTGGGACAGCCCCAGGCGGCCCCGTGCGCACCTACAGGGTGGCCGTGCCCCTGGAGGTAACAGTGAGCTGGGAGGAGGCCTCTGGGACAGCCCTGGGCGCCTGCGCGCACCTACACAGATCTGGGACGGCCCTGGGCGGCCCCGCGTGCACCTACGCAGATCTGGGACTGCCCGGGCGGCCCCGCGTGCACCTACGCAGATCTGGGACTGCCCGGGCGGCCCCGCGCGCACCTACGCAGATCTGGGACTGCCCGGGTGGCCCCATGCGCACCTATGCAGATCTGGGCGGTGACATTCTTCAGGAAGGCATCCTCCAGCAGCTCTGCATAGTTCTCCTTGACCAGCGAGAGGCCGGGCCGGCCCTGGGATGGTGCCAGGCCTTGGCAAGAAATGACATTGAGCTGGTCTGAGCCTGGGATGAAGTCAAACACGTCTTTGATGCCCACGGAGACCACCTGTGGGGACAGACAGTATCGGTGTGGCGCAGCCTGCTCTGCCCTCGTCTTTCTGGGGACAAGGCCACCCTGGCTGGCGGGGCGCCCTAGGCGGGGCAGGTGCAGCCTGGGGGTGGCCACCCCACCTGGATGCCGGGGCTGCAGAGCACGTTGAGCGGTGTGGTGTCCCTCTGAGTGTCTGAGCGCCCGTCAGTGATGACCAGGGCGATGCGGTTGTTCGGGCTGGGCGGCAGCAGCTGGTCCCGCGTGTACTGCAGGGCCTCCCCCGTGAAGGTGCCGCCCGCCATCCACTGCAGGCTCTTGATGGCTCTGCATAGCAAAGGGCAGGAAGGGCCGGTTGGGGCCAGGCCTGCCGCGGGGCCGAGCCCACCTGGGATCAGGGGTCAGGGCCGACCTGCCGTGGGAACAGCGGTCGGGGCGAGGGGTGGGAGGGTCCTGGCCGCGTGGGGCACTCACTCCTTGAGCTCCTGCACGTTCCGGATGCTGGGGCTGCGCAGGCTCACGTGCTCCTGCATCTGGCTGTGGCTGTACTGCACCACACCCGCGTACGACTGCCCTGGCTCGAACTGTGGGACCGGCACCGGGGTCAGGACGCGAGTGCTGCCCCAGGTCCGCATAAGCTTCCCAAGGGTGACTCTATTGGCTGCGGGTGCCCAGAGGGTGGCATGGCCCCCAGGACCTCAGGACCTGGGTCCCCTGCGATTGGCTCTGGGTGCACAGAGGGTGGCACAGCCCCCGGGACCTGGGTACCCTGCGATTGGCTCCGGGTGCCCAGAGGGTGGCACAGCCCCCGGGACCTGGGTACCCTGCAAAGCAATCTTCCTTGGTGGATGAAGCCCTCCTGGGTTCTGTCCACGAGGGACAAGCCCACACCCAGCACTCAGGACCCCAGACTACCGCCCTTCAAGGAGAGGGGGAGACCCTCCCTCATCTGGGGCGCCTGTGTACAATGGGCCAGCCTCGCCAGGTGGAGCTGGAGGCCTGGACGGGCTGGCGCGTGCCTGGCATCCTTGTCATGAGTAGGGAAGTCACAGGGATGCAGCGGTGGCCTCGGGAGGCTGAGGTCTGGCGCGGGCAGGGGCGGCCGGCAGGGTCGGGGTGCACCTGGGCTTGAGAAAGCCGGGCGGGGCGAGGCCTCACCTTGACCAGCTCGTCCCGGCTCAGCCGGTCGATGACCTTGACGACGAAGTCCTTGGCAATCTCGAAGTTCTGCAGGCCAATGCTCTCTGAGCTGTCCAGCACGAACAGGAGGTCGATGGGGCCGCACTTGCATTCTGCAGGCGGGGGCGGTGTCAGCAGAGCACGCCCCTCCCCTCCAGTGCCCTGGCCCCTCCCCTCCACCGCCCTGGCCCCTCCTTGGCTGCCACATCCTCACCTGACACGTTGGGGTCCCCCCGTCTCAGCCCCAGAAAAGCCCACCCCCTCCCATGGCCCCGTAAAGGCTGCTCTGTCCGGCGGCTGGTCAGGGCTGGCGTTGCTCAGCCAGGCTAGGGTGGGGCCTGTGGGCCAGAATGATGGAGCAGGGACCCCCCCAAGCCTGCTCCTGGTTATTTCAGTTATGGGTGAAAGAGGGCGGGGCCCAGCCCAACACCCGGGAACCCTGCTGGCTTGGAGCAGGCCCCAGAGGGGGCGGGCAGGTGCAGGGAGCTGCGGGCGGGGACCAGAGTGCCATGTGCTGTCCTGTGACATGTGTGGGACCCAGGCCTCGCTCCCCGACCCCCGGGATCCATTCTCTCAGGAGCTAGAGCCTGGGTCTCACCACAGCAAGCTGAGGAGAAGAGAAAGAGTCAGTTAGACCAGTCAGGGCCGCGTCCTGCGCACGTCAGAAAGGCTTTTACTCTTGGGGCAGCCTCCCCGCCTCCCCGGCCGCCCTCCTTCCCCGGCCTCCCCCCTTCCCCGGCCTCCTGCCCCGCCTCCCCGCCTCCCCGGCCGCCCTCCCCACGTGGCAGCTCTGCACCGCACCGGGGACTCTCAGCCTGTGCGGGGACCCGGGGGCCTGGGAGGGCTTTGGAGGCCGGTAGGGGCTGGCTGAGGAGCCTCCTCAAGGATGTACCCAGAGACCCAGGCCCCCAACAGTGGAGACACCCTTCTAGGAGTGGAACAGGCCAGGCTGGCGGCCCTGCTCTCCCTAACGAGGACGGCTTCTCAGAGATACTCACAGCACATTTTCATGATGATGTCCAAAATCTCGCATTCCTGGGGAGGGAGAGACGAGGGTACTGGGGCCATAGACAGCCCCTCCCAGCGGGGACTGTGGGCTGCTGGATCTCCAGGTCACCCTCCCTGGGGCCCCCACAGGGCGGGGTTTGGGCAGGAGGTTCTTTGCAGGTGTGCCCGGCTCTGCCCACTACACCCCTGCTACTGGGCTGGACCCCTGACGTGGTCATAGAAACAGCGCAGTCATGGGTCTCCCCGTGGCCGTCACGGGTCCCCTCATGGTCCTCATGGGTACAGGTCCCCCCATGATCCTCACACGTCCCCCCCCATGATCCTCACACGGGTCCCCCATGATCCTCACGGGTCCCCCATGATCCTCACATGTCCCCCTCCATGATCCTCACGTCCTCCCATGATCCTCACACGTCCCCCCCATGATCCTCACATGTCCCCCATGATCCTCACATGTCCCCTCTATGGTCCTCACACATCCCCCTATGATCCTCACGGGTCCTCCCATGGCCGTCACGGGTCCCTAGGGCCTGGCACCAGCTCTTTGTCCACAACCCACCCCCCCGTGAGCAGCGTCTACAGGAGCACCCATGGACAGGACCCACACCCCAAGGGATGGAAGCTACAGTGGTCGCCCCCAGCAATGTTCACAGAGCCCCACTTACGTCCGGCCCAGGCGGTCCTTGGTGTCCTGGGGGTCCCTGTCCGAGAAACGGAGTAGAGGAGCTCTGAGGGTGAGGAGCCCACTGTGCTTCCTGAGCTGAGACAGCCCCCACCCCCAGGGCCCTGCCCCTCATCAAGCCCACCCCTGCCCGGTCCCTCCCTACCCAGCCCCTCGTCCTCCAGTGACGGTGCTGTGAGGGCAGCTGGGGCTTCGCACACTGGTGGTCCAGGCGGCCATCCCAGGTGGGCCCCACCCTGAGGACCCGCTGTGTCCCTGGGCTCGGCTCTGCTGCCCTGGCCACCACCTGGCCCTGGTGACCGGCACCTCCCACCCCCAGGGCCTCCCAGATGACGTGCTCCCCAAAATTCCCTCCCGCCGCCTCCCACTCTCCCAGCCTCTTCCAGCATTCCCCAGCCCCAGCATCCGGCGTCCCAGGCACAGCCCACCGTGGCCTCACCCAGCCACATCCACCCACCTGGGGGCCCTCGGGACCCCGGTACCCCTTTGCTCCTTTGACTCCTCGGGGTGCAATGTCGTTGTTCTAGAAGGGAACAGCGTTGTGTCAACAGACCGTGCACCACCCGGGCATCTGCGCGCTGGCCCCGTCCACAGAGCATCCAGCAGCCGGGGCCCATGAGGCCTCCCCAAGCGGGTCCTGGTCCACTGCCCTTCAAGGGCCCAGCCCTCTGGCTCAGGTGGACTTGGGGCTGGCCCTGCCTCCCATCCACACTTACATCGTCTCCGGGGTCCCCGGCTTCTCCCTCGTCCCCCTTGAGGCCGGGGTAGCCCTTCGTGCCCTGCAGTGACGGGAGAGCACTTGGTTAACAAGGGTTTTATTTTGTTTTTAGGAAGTGGAAATTTTAAAAGGAAAAAAATAAAGATAAGAGAGGCACTCTTCTCTTCCCTTCCCCCACCACACACATTTCCTGGGCTGGAGAAACTGGGTCCCGGAGTGGCCTAGAGAGCCGTGGGGCGGCCTCTGGGGCTGGGCCTGCCCTGCGCACCGAGGGGAGATCGGTCACCGGGCAGTCAGGGCCGTGAGGAGACCCACAGGCCACACCACAGTGGGAGCCTCGCAGGGCCTGCAGGAGCCGATGCCAACTGGGGCTGTGGCCACAGACAGTGGGGCAGCCGTGGGTGCCTGTGTACCCCGTGTGTTTGCTCGGGAGCCTGTGTGCACATGTGTGTTCACACGTGCGTGTCCCTGTGACTGTGAATGTTTGTGTGCCCACAGCCAGATGGAGGAGGGGGCGTACTCACGTTTATCCCGGGAGCGCCCCTGTTGCCCGGATACCCCTGTCATGGAAAAGCAGGGCAGTGATACCGGGTTCTGATTTGAGAGGGGAGGCTGTGAGGGGCGCACAGCGGAAGGGCCTGAGCTGACAGAATCCCGGCCATGGAATTCCTGGGCCAGCCGGCGGTCCTGGGGCCAGCCCGCCCACCCAAGAGTGCCCAGTCCACTAAAGAGGGCGCCGCAGGCAGCTTGGGCATGTTCCTGTGGGCTCAGCCTCCGGACACTTACGGGGAAGCCGGGGAAGCCCTCGGTGCCATTTCCAGCGGGGCCGTCTTCTCCCTGGGGGAGCAGAGTAGCCGTCACCGTGCGAATCGGCCTGGCCTGGGATACCCACTGGCTGGCACAGGCCCGGGAGCACCTCACCCGCAGGGCCCCTCCGTCAGCCCAGAAGCCGGCTCCCTCCCCTGGGGCCACCCTGCTGGTCCCCGTGGACCCTGGGACCCGGATCTCGGGGCAGGAGGGGCCCTGCCGAGGCGGCCTCTGGCTCAGGTGCCGACTGTGGCCAGGAGCCAGTGATGCTGCGGGCACTCCCGGCCCGGTCAGGGACCCCAGGCAGCTCCACAGTGCGGGGCTGGGGCTTCCCAGGGCCTCTGGCGGCCAGGCCTCCGCCCTAGGGCCCGAGCTGTTGGACACTCACCCTTTCACCCATCAGCCCCGGGTCTCCAGGGGGTCCGGCAGGTCCTGGGGCTCCTCTGGCACCCTGAGGAGGAAGAGGAGGCGTGAGGGGAGCAGGCTTAGCATGGTGACCTTGGAGGGAAGCAGGGCCCTCCTGGGGCCGGGAGAGGTCCCATCGGGAGCCAGGACACCCAGGGCCATAGAGTCCTCAGAGGGCACGGGGCCAGCACTGGGCAGACAGTGGGTTCTGGATCCTCAGGCCCCCCTGGGTGGGCGGGTGTGGGTGGGGAGTGGGACTCACCTCGGACCCTGGGGGACCCTCATCGCCTCGGTAGCCTTTAGGTCCGATAGGGCCAGCCTCGCCCTGTAGAGAGATGGATATGGCACGTTGGACCACAGGCCTCACCCAGCCTGAGCCCTCCCTGACCCTAAGCTGAGGGTCTCAGACCAAGAGGCATCAGGGCCCCCAGGCTCTGGCCCCAGTCCCATCAGTGCAGGGGGAGAGCCAGGCCCACTCTTGGGTCTGACGAAGGGCCTGCACGAAGGGCCTGGGCACAAGTGTTGAAGCCCTTCGGTGGGCGCCCAGCTGGTGCCTCAGGCCCCCACGGAGGGGTGAAGCCTCTCCCAGATGACTTTGGTGGGCGCCCGGCTGGTGCCTCAGGCCCCCACGGAAGGGTGAAGCCTGTCCCAGATGACTTCGGTGAGTGCCCGGCTGGTGCCTCAGGTCCCCACGGAGGGGTGAGGCTACAGGTCCCCAGGCCGCAGACCACCTGCCCCTTCTCCTATCAGAGTGGCCCCAGACTGCCCTCCCTCATGGTCCCCTTTGGGCCTGGCCTGGTCCCCTTAGCCCACCCCCAACCGCAGGACCCTCTGTGGGCTGAGCCTGGACACCACCCTGCCCCCACCTGCACCTGAGGCTGCCTGCTGGACTTCCTTGGGTCCCCCACATCTCATGAGGACCCTGTGGGGGTCTATTTCCAGAGCTGGCCCCAGCTCCCACCTTTGAGGGCCTGCTCCGTGGACAACTCCAGCGGCGAGTCCCTGCCCTTCGGAGTCTAGCCCAGGCACCCCAAGCACTTCCCAGCGCGCCCAGCTGAGCCAAGAAGGGAGCCGTGTACACATCGCCCGGCCCACCTGGCCCACCTGGCCCACCTGGCCCCAGCCATGAGCCTGGTCGGACGCCTGTCCCTGGCCTGTGCCTGCTCAGACGCCTGTCCCTGGCCTGTGGTTAGGCTGATGCTTCCCGATGAGGCCTGTCCGGTGGTTCAAATGTTTACAACTTCCCCACTACCAGACTTGGCCCATTCACCATCCTGACCCCGTGGCCTCCACCA
Source organism: Homo sapiens (assembly GCF_000001405.40). NCBI lineage: Eukaryota > Metazoa > Chordata > Mammalia > Primates > Hominidae > Homo > Homo sapiens. Next base: position 45,996,450 of record NC_000021.9, on the reverse strand, counting down.
GGCAGACAGGAGGCATCTAGTGTATTGCTCTCTCTACCCCGACTGTGCAAGCACCCAGGCCTGGCTGTGAAGCTCCTGCACCCTTCGTGGTCAACGCCCCAGCAGTCAGGACTGCACACTTGACTGGGGACTTTGCACACGGGCCTCAAGGAGGTCCAGAAGCTCACCAAACTTGGGGTTCAACAGGGGTTAGTCTGGTACCCTGAGATCCTGCCTTGGGAACACGAAAAGGGGGCCAGGAGGAAGGATGGAAAGGAGGTCTCTGTGCCCTGGGCCAGGTAAGTGGGAGGCAGAAGGCCTGGACCTCACCACACACAGTCAGACTGTGCCACAGACAGCAGGAGGCCAGACTGGGCAGTTTCTGCAGAGCACCTCACTGGGGGCACCTCCTGGGACCAGCCCTGAGGGCCCAACTGCTTCTGGCATCCACACAGGGAGAGCCCCATGCTGGGCAGGGTGGAGGGGAGGGGTAAGGCTGGCAAGGGCTGAGCAGGGAGGTTCTGGGAGCAGGGAAAGCCCGGAAGGCCAGCTGGGAGCCCAACGTCCCGATGGACAAATGTGGCTCCAAAGCCACCTATCCACACCCCCGGGCCCCGAAAGGCCCCAGGGAGGCTCCAGGTGAACAAGTGCCTGCCTCAGCCAGGCAACTGTGAGTCATGGGTCACATGGTGCCCTGGTCTCAGGCGTTGGGGGAAACCTCCTCCAGGACAGCAGCCTAGAGACTATTCCCAGACCCCCAGGCATGGGACCCACCAGCCCCTGTGCAGCCTGCCCCACAGCCCTGGAGGCCCTGCAGCCGGCCTGCTCACAGGACTGCCTCTTACCACAACCCTTTGAAAGTGGCTTTGTTTTTTTCTTATAGTGGCTATTGATTACTTTGAAAACTGAACATATAAAACAGGCAGGGTGTGGTTAGAATTCTCCGAGCAAGTCCTGGCCTCTGAACGCTCATTCCCACTGAGACTTTCAGCTACCAAGGTCTGGAGCAGCCTCCCAAGCCTGGAACGTGGCCCTGGGCCGTCCCCTCCCCACAATCTGCCACTGGCTGCATGGCCTCTTCCACGCACTGTGCCCTGCACCTGGCCCTGTCCTGGGTGACCACATGGGAGGTCAGATCATCCTCAGGGCTGGAGCCCCGGGAGCTCAAAGAGCAAAGAGGATCAGAGACTGAGGCCGTGCACTTCCCCAGGAAGGTGTCGGGAGCCCTTTCTGCCCCTGCCGTGAGCGGCACGCAGGACCAGGTGGACGAACGGCCCAGACCCCGCCTGCCAAGCCCTGCCCTGGTCCTCATCTATGACACAGGTATTTTTAACAGCTGTGTAACACCCGTTGGCACCACAAAAGCACGATTTCACCTCGTGCACAGAAATACAAATGTGACTTGCACTGGGACGGCCTCTCCCATCTCCCTGGGTCTGAGGCCCCATCTTGCTGGACGTCTGAGACAGCTGCCGTGCCCAGGGTCTGGCCTTGTGCTCGGTGTGTGGGCAGCTGCGCACATGGAGCCGTAAGGTCGATTTGTCCACAGAAGCAGACAAGCTCGGGAGCACAGACTTGCTGTCTCCGGGCGTGACCGTGTGGAGGCCTTCCTGTCCCCGTGGGGCAGGTGAGCTCCGGGAGGATGCAACGGCCCAGCCCAGCCTGCGGGCAACACCACACTGGAGCCACCATCATGGCAGTCATCAGAATGGGGGAAGAGACAGAAAGCCGTGCGGCGTGCACAGCGATTCCAGAGGCTCGGAGAAGGGAATTTAGAATGAGATGAAAGTGCATTTTCATCCTGACACCCTGGGATTCTGGAAACCTCCATAGCCTCACACTCCCCAGTTGACCTCCAGCCACAGTCATGCCTGGCTCCTGACCCAGAAAAACAGATGCTGACCAAGCTCCCAGTGTCTCCCAGGGGCTCCAACACCTCTTCCTCACTGTGAGGCACCCTTGCCCCGGATGGGCCCCCAGACAGCGCTTCTCCACCTGGGCTGAGCGTCTCAGCGTCAGGCCCCCGGGCGCTGGGCCTGCTCTCAACAATCCACACCAGCCCGGCCCAGGCCGCGCCTCACCCCCTGCAGCCGGCTCCCACGCAGGGACACCCCCGAGATCTACGGAAACACAGAGGCCCTCAAACGGAAATGAACAGACCCCCAGTGCGTGAGCTGCTGGAGCACTTCTACCCCCAAAACCCAAATTGGCCAACGCCCCCCAACCCCACAGCGCTTCCTACCGGGTCTCCAGGGACACCAACGGGGCCTTCTCTTCCCTGATCACCCTGCGGGCCAGCTTCACCCTGAAGAGAAACGAGCCGTGAGTGTGGAGCTGGGCCATCCTTGGGGAGGATGGCTGCCCGGGCACGCTGGGAGCCACAGCATGCTGTCCAGGTGGTCACTGGGCTGTTCCGGCCTTCCCTCCCCGCACAGCCCCTTCCTGGCCTCGCCAAGCGTTTCCTCGGCCCACGTGCGTGGCCATCGGCGTGGCTGGCTATGGCTATCTTCATTCAGGAGGCCGGCAGCTCCTCCTGGGGCCCCAGAGGCGTCCCTGCGTGCATCCCTGCTTCTCCAGCAAGCTCCGTGGACCCGGCAAGTGTTTGTAGCCATGGACTTGTGGCCCGCCGGGAAGCTGGAGCTGCGTGGCTGGCCCTTCCTCTGGGCTCTGCCTGGCTGTCAGTCTCATATCCTGATCTCAGAGGAGTGGGCCTAGAAGGCAGTCTGAGTCACTAAGTCACACGATCCCTGCTTTGACGTCCCCCCGACCCCTCCACGGGGGCTGTGCGCTTCTGGGGAGCTCCCAGGGAGGAGGTCAGAAATCCCCCACCCCCCACTGGGGAGCCAAATCCCTCGGTGGCGGCGACTCTGGCCCCGGCTCAGCTCTCTGGCCCTGCTGGAGCCCCGCCTGTCTGTCACAGCACACGACAGTCGCATGTCTTGATTCTCGGACAAGGGGGCACCCGGGGGCGCTGCCTCTGAGGCCTGGCAGCTCGGCTGGGCACACTAGGGCATTCTCTCCCCTTCACTCTGCCCGCCAGGCCCTGGCTCTCCCTGAGCCGGATGGGACTGAGACGCCCGGAGTCTGCCAGCTGCCCCGCCCCACATCCAGCACAGATTTCCCAGCAAGTCACAGGGACAGAGAAGGGCCCTGTGCTTCTGCACCCTGAGGCTGGGCTGTGGGGTGGCCTAGCGAGGCCCACGGTCCACGGAGCTGAAGGTGGGGGGTGGCCTCTGAGGCCGCCGGCATCTCGGCTCTGGGGTGAGTTTTCCATGTCAAGCCTTCCCAGGCAGGCGCCCTGCAGGCCTAGCTTCCCGTCTGGGGTACTGACCCAACTTCCTCACGCTGGGAATTTTAACTAAGGAAAATTATTCCAAAGAAGAACCCAAGCTCGGATGCAGAAACGTGGAAGCCGCCTGGTGGGAAAGTGGGCACCGGGTCCACGGGCAACGCCTTCACATGAAACAGGTCCCAGCATCAGGCACATGGCTGGGCGCCGGCTTCAGGGGCTGCCCTCCCTGACGGCGTGGGGATGGGCTGGCCACGTTGAGGGGCCACAGGGGCTTCATGATGTGTCCTGTGGCTCTGGAGGCCTGACCCAGCCCCAGCCTCCGCCTGCCCCTTCCTGGGGTGGTTCCCAGCTCCAGGAACTGTGACTCACAGGGTCTCCTCTTGGTCCCCGCGTGCCTGGGGTCCCCCGTGGTCCTCTCTCTCCAGGGCCACCCTGAGTGGAGAGACATGGAGGGGAGAAGCCTCAGCTGCTGGAACTCACACCCAGCTGGGGTGGGGCTTGAGGCCTGGCCTGGACTGACTCCCCCAGCAGGACCCCTGGGAGGGGCCACCCCTCCACCGCATGCCCCACGGTTGCAGAGGCCGGAATCTCCTGGTTCCCCAGGTCCCACCCGCTCTGAGACTGTGGGAAGAGGCATCCTGGACGTGTGGGTGAAGAAACCCATTTGTCTTGGGCAGGAGGCCATGGCTCTCAGTGCTGGGAGGGCCAGACTGGGCCGCAGAGGCCACGTCCACAGCTACATGGTGAGGCCAACAGCGCAGGCTGCCCCTGCCCCACTCACCCGCTCCCCGGGGGCACCGTCAGGTCCTGGGTTCCCCTGGGATGAAGAGAAACAGACGCCGGCGTTAGTCTGGTGGACACACTGCATTTGGTCTCAGGGACGTGGAGTAGACCCCGAGCAAAGAGGATCAGAAGCTGAGGCCATGCACTTCCCCAGGAAGGTGTCAGGAGCCCTCACTCACCTCGTCGCCCGCCTCTCCTTTCTCTCCGGGGGGCCCAGGCTCTCCCGGCTGGCCCTGTGGGGAACAAGGGTTGAATGGTCGCTCCATCTCCTTGACCCTCCCTGGGCCCATACCTGGCATGTGTGGGGGCTGTGAAGCTCCTCACCTCGTCTCCAGATGGTCCCGAGCTCCCTGGTCTCCCCGCCTCCCCGTCAGCTCCAGGCTCGCCCTGGGGAAGACCGGGGGAGTCACACACGCTGGCAGGGGTGTGCACCAGGGGTGCAGCCATCAGAGGCCACATCCAGGGCCTCTCACCCATACTTCAGGCCACTCCCTCTGACCAACACTGTCTGAGCCCAGACCCCCCAGCACCCTCAGCCATCCACAACCCTGCACAAAGACCTCCTGGAATGCTCCAACCTTGTTCCCTGTGAGGCCCAGCCAAGGGCCATCTTGTCTAAGGGGCAGGATTTGGTTCCCATTAGAGAAGGCACAGCTTTGCCAGGCTGGCAAATTGGCAAACTCAAATCTAGGGCCTGGAGGGTAATCTGGGAACTTGAAGATGAGATTTGGAAACCGTCTGCTGGGTTCTAGGAGCTCGTCTGGGAATGTTTGGGGTGGGGTCAGCATTCGCCTTTGTCTTCCCCAACACTTCAGCTTCAACAAAGAAACTCCAGAGAAAACACCAGCAACGGCAGACTCAGCTGTCAGACGAAAAAGCTCCTTCTCCCGCCTCGTGCTCCCGCCCTCCCGCTGCCCACTCGCCCTCCCACCCGCTCACCACCCTCCTCCCGCCCCCGCTCACCACCCTCCCGCCCACTCGCCACCCTCAGTGCCACCCAGCCCATTCTCAGTTCTGAGAGCCATTCTGGGCTGCGGCTCGCAGGCTAGGAGTGACGCGGTGGGGTCCCATCTGTGCCGAGCGAGCGGCAGGTGCGGGGGACAGAATGGCGGAGGCCTGAAGGCCCTCGGGCTGCAGGGAAGGCTCTGGGCGGGAGCGCCACGGCCACTGTCCCCACGGTGGGCACTGTCCCCGCTGCTCCTCTGCCTGCCTCCAGCCTCCACCAGCTCCTCCCCTCTGAGGCCGCACGGGTGGCCGACATGCTCGGACCAGGACTTGCTTCCAGGAGAGGTTTCCAATTCAGCGCTTGGCCAACCGTGAAGGCCCTGGTCCTCCAGGGGCCGCAAGTCACTCACCTTTTCTCCTTTCAGTCCAAAGGCACCGGGGTCTCCCTTGGGGCCAGGGGGTCCTTGAATGCCCTGGAGAAAAGAGGGCAGCATGACACCACCGGCAGAGGCCACCGCGGCCTCTGGCAGCAGCCCCAGACCGCCCAGACAGAAGTCAAAACGGTCCACACGAGGTGCTGCTGACAGCGCTAGTTTTAAAGTATCAGTGAGAGGAAGTGACTTACGTCAAACCCGGGCGAGCCCTTGCAGCCTGGCAGGCCTGGGTACCCCATCTCCCCCTGGAAAGAGGAAGAAAACTAGAAAATCTGACGGCCAAGTGGGTAAACTGAGGCCAATCAACTGTCAGACTTGGTGCCCTCCATGCCCTCCACACCCTCCCTGGAAAGCCCTGCCTAGCAGACACCCCCCTGGGGTCACCTTCACACCGTCCACCCCACTCCTCCCTGTCCCTCCTGCCGGGATCACCTCACCCCATCCCTCCCCGTCCCTCCCCGTCCTTCCCCTGGTCACCTTCACACTGTCCACCCCATCCCTCCCCGGGTCACCTTCACGCCGTCCACTCCGTCCCTCCCCATCTCGCCCCATTCCTCCTCGTCCCTCCCCGTCCATCCTATCTCCCCCCAGTCACCTTCACGCCGTCCACCCCGTCGATGCCACGCTTGCCCTTCTCTCCCTGTGAGGCGGGAAAACGAAGGCAGGAGTCAGATGCAGGTCAGACATGCTGCCGTGGGGGCAGAACTCCCCCCTCCCAGCAGCCCACGCTCACCTTGTAGCCCTTGGGTCCCCTGGAGCCCTGCGGAGACAGGAAGCGGGTGTGAGGGGGTATTTGGGGTGGGGAGGGCAGGGCAAGCCTGGCTTAGGCCCACGCGAGGCAGGGGCTTGGGTGCCCCCAACCCGAGGGGACAACATCACTGCTGAGAATCATGGGGACTGACAGTGATGGGGAGGGGCCGCTCTGCAGAGGGTAACCGCCCGGGGGACCCCCGGCTCCGCAGAGGGTAACCGCCCGGGGGACCCCCGGCTCCGCAGAGGGTAACCGCCCGGGGGACCCCTGCTCTGGGGTGGGGTGAAAGTGACACAGGCGCCTTTGCTGGGTGCCTGGGTGGCTGTCCTTGTCCTTCCAGATGGAGGGGACGGCGAGGGGCGGTGGAGCGGGTCTGCAGGACACGTGGTCTCCTGTCAGGGACACTGTCCTCATCCCCGGGGACACCCTCGTCCAGGATGGCACATCTGCGCCTGGAGAGACCAGCTCCGAGGTCGAGCCTCACTCACCTTCTCCCCACGGCTCCCTTTTTCTCCCTACACACCCAGCGGAAGAAGAGGAAGAGGAAGGCTTGTTAGTGCTGTGCAAGGCTGAGGGCACCACCGGGCTCGGGCCAGGAAAGGGGGGGCACGTACCTTCATTCCCTGGTACCCAACAGGTCCGAGGTCCCCGGGTCTTCCCTGGAACACAGGAGGAGATGGTGAGACACCCCCGGAGGAGCAGGGGCAGGGGCCAGTCCCACCCAGCCCCACACCCCTCCCTCCAGCCCAGGCCTGGTCAGGCCGAGAGAGGGGCCCTGCTGCACGGGGCCCATGGTGCCGAGGCCCTCCAAGGTGGAGCTGGGGGAGGGAAGTCTATGGATAGGATTTGGGCCAAGGAGCCACGGCAGGGGCCCCGGACGGTGCCGGCCTGAGCACCCTGGGCCACCTCCCCACCCAGCCCCTCCCTGGCAGGGGGGCTTACGGGCTGCCTGGGGGGCTGTGTGGAAGGATGGCTGGGCTGTGGCCCCTCCAGGTCTGCTCCCACCCACAAGGAACAGGCAGTGTGACTTTGGCACTCAGAACCCAGCCACTCTTCCGGAAGTTTCCGAGGCCTAGTCGTTCCCCGCCTCCAGCTTCTTAGGGCCCCCACCCCACAGTCAGGCACTCACAGGATCTCCGGCTTCTCCCTTCTCTCCTGGGAGCCCCGGCTTGCCTCGTTCTCCCTGGAACACAAAACAGGTCAAGGTTGGGGCAGCCCCGTTTCTTTCTAAAAAGCTGGCTCACGAAACAGGTTTTTAAAAAGACGCTTCATCCAGCCTTCAGGGATCAAGGGCTTTAAAGCACCTTCCCCATCACATCTGGTCAGCCTGGGTCTGGGAGCTCCAACCCGCACGCCAGCTCCCCCCACTCCCTGCCTTCGTTCCTGTCTGCTCGGCTTTGCTGACCCCCAGGCACAGGTGGGAGGGACGTGCAGCACAGAAGCCCCCCAGGGTCACAGCTCGACCCCCAGGAAATGGCCATGGGACTCGGGCCCACAGCTGCTGGGTTTGATGGTTTTTAGGAGAAGCCAGAAATCTGAGGTCCATGAGCAGCCTCATGGCAAGTTTTAATTATCAGCAGCTAATTCTAACGTTTAAGGTCATCCTATGTGAGCCACACAGAAGCAGGGGACCCACATTCTCACCCTCCTACCTCCAGAAAGGTCCTTCTGAACAGAGTGCGGCTGAGGGCAGGGCGGACAGAGACACCCTCAGAAGCCCCCAGCGCCCCCGGGACAGTCCACACCCTGCACGGCCGGAGCCTGCCTGCTGGACCCCGCCGTCCCTTCCATCTGGACCCCGACATCCCCTCCATCTGGACCCCGCCGTCCCCTCCATCTGGAGCCCCGACGTCCCCTCCATCTGGACCCCGCCGTCCCCTCCATCTGGACCACGCCGTCCCCTCCATCTGGACTCCCGCCGTCCCCTCCATCTGGACCCCGCCGTCCCCTCCATCTGGACCCCGCCGTCCCCTCCATCTGGACCCCGCCGTCCCCTCCATCTGGACCCCGCCGTCCCCTCCATCTGGACCCCGCCGTCCCCTCCATCTGGACCCCCGCCGTCCCCTCCATCTGGAGCCCCGACGTCCCCTCCATCTGGACCCCGCCGTCCCCTCCATCTGGACCACGCCGTCCCCTCCATCTGGACTCCCGCCGTCCCCTCCATCTGGAGCCCCGACGTCCCCTCCATCTGGACCCCGCCGTCCCCTCCATCTGGACCCCGCCGTCCCCTCCATCTGGACCCCGCCGTCCCCTCCATCTGGACTCCCGCCGTCCCCTCCATCTGGAGCCCCGACGTCCCCTCCATCTGGACCCCGCCGTCCCCTCCATCTGGACCCCGCCGTCCCCTCCATCTGGACCCCGCCATCCCCTCCATCTGGACCCCGCCGTCCCCTCCATCTGGACCCCGCCGTCCCCTCCATCTGGACCCCGCCATCCCCTCCATCTGGACTCCCGCCGTCCCCTCCATCTGGACCCCCGCCGTCCCCTCCATCTGGACCCCCGCCGTCCCCTCTGGATCCTCATGGTGGACTTGGGTGCCCAGGAGGCTTTGGTCCTGCCACCCCCACTCCCAGGCCCCACAACACATGGGAGGAGCAGGAGTCACCACTCACCTCAAAGCCGGGGTCGCCCCGGAGCCCCGGAGGTCCTCTTGCAGGCTGCAAGGCAGAGGGGACGGTCAGCCAGGACCCCAGACTCAGGTTCCCAGGGTGCAGGGCGCGGGGTCAGGGGTCGGGGGGCACACTCACCTGGCATTCGAAGGAGCAGCACTGTGGGGGGAAAGCATGGAGACGAGTCAGTGGGAAAGCCACGGACATACGGCTGGGACACAGGGTGACATGCGACCCAGGCACATGGGCAGACGGACACACGGATGGACGCACAGGCGGACACATGTCCCAGGCACATGGGCAGACACACAGGTGGACACGCAGGGGGACACACATCCCGGGCACACGGGCAGACACGCAGGGGACATGTGTCCCGGGCACATGGGCGGATATGCATAGGGACATGCGTCCTGAACACACAGGTGGACGTGTGGGTGGACGTGTGCAGACTCACGGCTGGGGGTGGTGGGGAGGGCTCTTACCACTTGCTCCACGTTATTTTTCTGGAAAGAGAAATGGAAACGCAGAATTACTTTCCACCTGCGGCCGCCGCGGGCCTCCCCGTCTCCTGGGCAGGGGCCTCACGATCATGTCCACGATGGTGTCGATGGTCTGGCTGATGGCCTCCTCTGCGTCGCGGCTCTGGCCCCAGTCAGCCGCCGTGAAGTTGCGCCGGTACGTGTGGTCCGTGGCGATGATGCTCAGACGCGGCTCCTGGGGGCAGTGTTCAGGGTGGGCTGAGCAGGGCTGGGACCCCTGACGGCCGGGGCCGCTTCCCACAGGGCCAGAGGGGAGGCTGGGCTGGGGCGCTCCAGGCTCCTCAGCAGGAGGGGCTGGCCTCTCAGGGGCAAGGGTGGCCGGCTGGAGAACCCACACCCTCCCGAGGACCAAAAGACGGTCCCAGCTGCCGGGGGCCTTGCAGCCGCCACTCCCTGTGGTTGGGGGCATCTGCCGGGGGGGGCCGGTGCCTACCAGGTGGTCGGGTGTGATGGCCACCGAGAAGACTTTGACGCCCAGGTGCTTGGCCTCGTTCACAGCATCCTCCAGCCCCCCACAGGGTTCCTTGTAGCCCTCCAGGGGGTGCCCGTCGGTCACCACAATCAGGTACTTATTCTCCTTCAGGTGGGAGCCCCTGGACAGGAGAGGGCAGCGTGAGACCTCGAGACTAGGTGGGGGAACTGGAGGGAGACCCAAGCCTGTCCGGGAGGTGCTGGTCCCTGTCTCACCGGGAGGAGCCGCCTCTCTTTGCTGATCCTGGCTATACGGTGGGGGTTACTGAAAAGAACCTCACCATGGGAAATAACGCCTGTGGGTCTCATTTCTCTAAACTGCTTTGGAAAATCCACGCCCTCCCAGGAGAGGCACCCATGACCCCAAAGGAGGCTCGGTTCCTGGGGTGCCCTGGGGCGCAAAGCCCCTGACCAGTGAGTGGAGGCTGAGGGTGGCAGGGAGCGTGCCCCTCCGAGATGCCCGCCGCGTCTACCCACAAGCTGCCTCAACTCAAGGCTGCTCGGTCACCGTGGCTCTTGCAGGAAATGGGTGTGATGAGCAAACAACAGGGCGATCCCTGAATGCCCCAAATCCAACCCCCCGAAAGGGAAAGTGGGAGCAGCAGGAAGGAGGGCAGTATCGCAGGGCAGTCGGGCAGCCTGCTGGGGACGCTGAGCATCTCGGCCAGAAGGGCGAGCTCATTTAGGGGAGTCGTGTCTGTCTGTGGCTTCCACAGGGGGCCGCACTCTGACGTGTGTGGCCACATCCCCCATGCACCCCCTGCAGACAGCGGACGACTTCCTGAGACTCCAAGTCCCCCAGGTCCCAGCTTGGCACCAACTCTGGAGGGAAGTGGGCACAACCATTGGAAAGGGAATGTCCGGCCCACACCGGCCATGTGGCCCTCTGAGACCGACCTCGGGGAGAGGCTCTCCCCAAACCCCCCGCACCGCCTGGCTGGACAGGGCAGCCTCGGGTACCCCCACTGGGATCCTGAGGCCTCGTGAAGGGCTGGGTGTGGGGAGGCCACGTTCCCCTCTGGACACTCCGGGGCTTGCGGCCCCTGCGTCCCCACAGCTGGACACTGGGATGAGAGGAAACCCCTCAGTCCAGAAAAACCCCGAGAAAGCGCATGCTTCGGGTCTGATGAGTCTGTTTCAGTGATCCTAGCCCTGCTTGGTGTTGATGCTGTGGGGAAAACCACCCCGTCTCTCTCAGTCTCTCAGTCTCTCTGCCTCTGTTTCCGGTCTCTCTGTCTCTGTCTGTCCCTGTCTCTCTGTCTGTCTCTGTCTGTGCTTCTCTCTCTGTCTCTCTGCCTCTGTCTTTGTCTCTCTCTCTCTGCTTCTATCTCTCTGTCTCCCTCTCTGTCTCTATCTCTCTGTCTCTGTCCCTCTGTCTCTATCTCTCTATTTCTGTCTCTGTCTCTGTCCCTGTCTCTGCTTCTCTCTGTCTCTCTGCCTCTGTCTGTCTCTGCTTCTCTCTGTCTCTCTGTCTCTGTATGTTTCTGTCTCTGTTTCGCTGTCTCTGTCTCTGTCTCTCTGTCTGCCTGTCTCTGCCCCTCTGTCTCTGTCTCTCTGTCTCTGTTTCTGTCTCTGTCTCTGTCTGTCTCTGACTGTCTTTGTTTCTCTGTCTCTGCTTCTCTCTGCCTCTGTCTTTTTCTATCTGTCTCTGTCTCTCTCTGTTTCCCTCTGTCTCTCTCTCTTTCTGTCTCTGTCCCTGTTTCTGTCTCTCTGTCTCTGTTTGTCTGTCTCTGTCTCTGTCTCTCTGTCTCTCTCTGCCTGTCTCTGTCCCTCTGTCTCTGTTTCTGTCTCTGTCTCTCTCTGTCTCTGTCTGCCTGTCTCTGTTCCCGTCTCTGTCTCTCTGTGTCTCTCTCTGTGTCTCTGTCTCTGTCTCTGTTTGTCTCTGTCTGCCTGTCTTGGTCCCTCTGTCACTCTTTGTCTCTGTCTCTCTCTGTCTCTGTCTCTATCTCTCTCTGTCTCTGTCTCTCTCTGTGTCTGTTTCTCCCTGTTTCTGTTTCTCTCTGTCTCTGTCTGTCTCCGTCTCTTTCCTGCCCACAAAGTGGGTCAGGGAGGCCGTGCAGCCTCCAAGAGAACAGGGAGGCTGCAGCTGAAGCCGCACAGGGACCCCAGGCCAACCCCAGCCCAGGCTGGGTACCACGCGTGAGAACTGGCGTGGGCAGGAGGCTGGGGGCCACTCACCCCACGAGGAGCTGCTCCAGCCCCTTCTTGATAGCGCAGTCGGTGTAGGTGCCCTTCCCAAAGTACTTGACCGCGTCCACGCTGCTTTTGAGTGCGTCGCGGCCGCCAGGCATGCGCGTGAGGCCTTGGATGATCTCCACCTCGTCACTGTAGTGCAGCGCGCCTGCGTTCCACACCAGGTTTCGGTCACAGCGGTAGTACCTGCCAGGAACAGGCACGGCGGGCGTGAGGCGGGCGGCCCCTGGCGCCATCGCTACCCGTCCCAGGGCGCGACGTCACCCAGATGGACAGGCTGCCCCACCCTGGCCGTGGCTGACACACAGCTGGACTTGCCCTGTGGCCCTGAGGCCGGCCCTCCTGGAAGGCTGTGCAGGCGGGTGTGGCCAGCAAGCGACCTGCGCCCCGATCCCTCAGGCCCTCAGACCAGGAGCCCTGAGTGTGTGGCCCTGCTGGGGTGGGGTCCTTGGGCCTGCAGTGGGGCAGCATGACAGTGGGGGAAGGAGGCACCCCGGGGATCTGAGCAGCCCCCTCGCTGCCCTCTGAGCACCTGAGCCTGAGGCTCTCAGGGGTCTGCTCTGCCCCAGCCTGGGGTGGGCCCACCTCTGCCCCACCCACCCTCCCATCCATTCAGCAGAGTGACCACGGCGCCTGCAGGAATCCAGTGGCAGCGACATGGGGATGACTCCGCCCCATTTCACAGGTGGGAAACTGAGTCATGGGGAGACTGAGTAAAGGCAACAAGGGCGACTCGGGGGACGCTGGGCCACGCGGCCGCCCCTCCCCGGTGCCATCCACAGCCAGACCCCCCCCCAAACACTGCCGCACGGGCCTGGCCATGTCCACTAAGCTCAGGGTTCCTGGTACCAATGGCTCCTGCTGGGCACGGTGTGGGCTGGAAGGTCCACCCTGCTGTTACCGGCAGCCTCTGACTGTGCCCCTTCTGGTGGCGGGAGGCTCCGGCCCAGCGGCCAGTCAGCAGGGTCAAGGAGGACGGGGGTTCCTACGCCGGCTAAGCTGTGTCCCCACTGCCAGGACCCGTCTCAGTGGGGGAGCCCCGTTCTACATGCCCCCCCCTCAGCGGCCCTGTGCACCCACAGGACCGACTCCCCTCTCCCCCCGGTCTGTCCTCAGCCACACGCACAGATGGAGGAACGTGGAGCAGAGGGTGCCGTGTCCCAAGCCCAGAACCAAGCCTGGGGGCCCTGGGGCTGCAGAGCGACACCCCTCCTGGCTCCCGAGTCGGGGACCTTCAGAACGTGGGATCCAGGACCCAGGTAGAGGCTCTCACTGCCCACGGAACAAACCAGGGTCCAGGTGGTTAGTGAGGGGCTCCCGCGCACCAGGCAGGACTGCGTGTCTGGGCCAGTGCGCTGAGCCCTCTCGGTCAGCCTGCGGGAGCCTCTCTTCCCTACATCTCAGCCTCACTGTCACCTCGGCCCTGCTGAACAGGTGCCACCCCCGCGAGCAGGGTCTCAAACCAGCTCACTCTGGAAGGCGCTGGGAGAGGCTCAGACCAGCTCACTCTGGAGGGCGCCGGAAAGGGCCCCGGCCTCACTCTGGAGGGCGCCGGGAGGGGCCCCGGTCAGGGCAACGCTCGCCCAACCTTAGGAGGTTGAGGCCGTCGCACCCGTGTTCCCCTGGGCCCCCACCCCTCCCTCCAAGAGGCCCAGAAGCACAGGAGGAAGGTCACGGGGCGTCCCTCCTACCTGTCCCTCAGGTTGTCGATGAAGCGCTTGGTGAAGGACTTGACTTTGTCCACGAGGGCCCCGTAGGGCTTCAGCCTCAGGGCCACGCTCTCAGAGGTGTCCAGCACAAAGAACAGGTCCACGGGGCAGTCTGGCCGAAGATGGAGGAGAGGGGCCTTCAAGCTCTCGCCCCATTCCCCGAGTCTCTGCTGGGCCTGCCCTCCCGGCCAGCCCAGCGCCTGCAGCACAGAGCCCCGGGCCCGGAGAGGCTCTCCCGGGAAAAGGCAGCAGGACGTCCCTCGGTGGGGACGGTGGGGAGGGGGTGGAGTGAGAGACCCCAAACCGCTCCTGTGCCTCGAGGGGAGTCAGAAACCTTCACAACCTCCCCCGAAGGGCAGGGCGTCCCCGGCACGGGACCGGACAAGTGAGACCTCACGGGAAGGTTTCTCGCTGGATTCAGAACCAGCAGCGCACGACTTCTTCTAGAACGGGGGTCGGGGGGGCCGTGCGTCTGGACTCACTGCCAGGTGAGGGGTCAAACGGATTCACGGGGCGCCGAGACAGCCCCGCACCAGCTCCCCCTCGCCAGGGAGCCCCTCCCGAGCTGCCTGCGGTCCGGCCCCGCTGAGAATGCTGAATGCTGAGCCTCTAGGGGCCCCGGCCAAGGCCCGGTGGGGCAGAGCTGGGCGCTGCAGCCGCCCCGAGCGGGGAGTGGGGTTCAGGGGCTCCAGGCCCCCAGTCTGCAGTTCCACGCGTGGGAGGGGACCCCGCGCATCTGGCCCTGGCCGGCAGCAAAGAGCGGGGGGTCTGGAGCCTGCACCCCAAGCCACCACTCACCCTGGAAGGCCACGGCCCTCGGGGTCTCCGGCTCATCCTGCGCGGCTGTCCAGCAGGCCTGCAGCAGCAGGGGCAGCAGAGCACGGGCCGCCCTCATGTCTGGGGCCTGCGGTCACCACACAGCGCGGCCAGGGCAGAGTGGGCCGCCGCCGCCGCCCAGAGACCGAGGCTGCCTTCTGCTCCCAGCCAGAGTGAGAGCGGAGGGCAAGGAGGGGAGGGGCGGGGCGAGAGGGGCGGGAGGGGAGGGGAGGGGCGGGAGGGGAGGGGAGGGGCGGGGCGGGAGGAGAGGGGAGGGGAGGGGAGGGGCGGGAGGAGAGGGGAGGGGCGGGAGGGGAGGGGCGGGGCGGGAGGGGAGGGGCGGGGCGGGGCGGGGAGGAGCGGCCCATGAGTCACCACCTCCTTGCTGGGGTCTCTCCCTCCAGAACCGGCAGCAGCTCCGAGCCCAGGGAGAAGGCGGTTTCCCTGGCTGGCTCGCCGCGGCCTGCAGTTCAGTTCCCGTGTCAGGGAGGAGGAAACTGCAGCAGCTGAATCAAACGTCTGAAAACCAGCGTGTCACCCAGGGAGAGTTCCTTGAAACATCTTTCGGTAGTTTCCAATCCAGACGTCTCCATGCGGGACGCACGGGCAGGCTCACTCGCCTCTTCCCACCAACCGCCTCCTGCAGAGGACCTCGCCGTGAGCTGAATTGTTGCTTTATCAGATCTCCGCGTTCTTTTTTCACGTCAATATTTCTTCACAGTATAGTCGGATACGTATTTGCCAAAGATATTTCAGTTTGTACCGTGGGAAGACAAAGTTGCTCACAATATAGTTGTTATATATGCTGTGTGTGGAGACAGAGAGACAGAGACAGAGAGACAGAGAGAGACAGTGAGAGAGAGACAGAGAGACAGAGACAGAGAGACAGACAGAGACACAGACAGAGGAGAGACAGAGACAGAGAGAGAGACAGAGACAGAGAGAGACAGAGAGACAGAAAGACAGAGAGAGACACAGAGAGACAGAGGAGAGACAGAGACAGAGAGACAGAGACAGAGAGACACAGAGAGACAGAGAGACAGAGAGACAGAGACAGAGAGAGAGACAGTGAGAGACAGAGACAGAGAGACACAGAGACAGAGAGACAGAGAGAGACAGAGACAGTGAGAGAGAGACAGAAAGACAGAGACAGAGAGACAGACACAGAGAGACAGAGGAGAGACAGAGACAGACAGAGAGAGACAGAGACAGAGAGAGACAGAGAGACAGACAGAGAGAGACAGAGAGAGAGACAGAGACAGAGACACAGAGAGAGGAGAGACAGAGAGAGACAAAGACAGAGACAGAGAGACAGAGACAGAGAGAGACAGAGAGGAGAGACAGACAGAGACGGAGAGACAGAGACAGAGAGACAGAGACAGAGAGACAGAAAGAGAGACAGAGAGAGGAGAGAGGGGCTGTCCCTGATATCACCTGGGGGTGGGCTCCAGATGTGGCCAGATGCATCCCTGGCCCACAGAAGGTCCCAGAAGAGCTTTCCCAAAGCTGGAGCTGCTGAGACTTGCCTAACACCAGCCTAAATGTCTTATAATTTTAAAACGTACACAAATTGTTCATACCAAAAACCATGTTAAAGAAACATTTGAAAAAACCTTTAAAATTGATACTTAATTCCACAACTCCACAGTGACTGTTTTTGGATTGCCTTCAATATTTTCCCCACACCTACGTTACAGAAGTTGTAAAGTACTTCTCCTTCTTTTCCTCCTCCTCCTCCTCCTCCTCCTCCTTATTATTATTATTATTATCTAAGGGGCTCACTCTGTCATCCAGGCTGGAACGTAGTGGCCTCATCACAGCTCACTGCAGCCTCAGTCTCCTGGGTTCAGGTGATCCCTCCACCTCAGCCTCCCGAGTAGCTGGGATCACAGGCATGTGCCACCATACCCAGCTAATTTTGTATGTTTTGTAGAGATGGGGGTCTCACGATGTTGCCCAGGCTGGTCTCGAACTCCTGGACTCAAGTGGTCCTCCTGCCTCGGCCTCCGAAAGTGCTGGGATTACAGGCATGAGCCACCGTGCCTGGCCTTGTACACTTACTGTACAGTCAATTTACCTGCCACTGATGTCATCCACACTGTGGCTGTGGGTGCTGAGGTTTGGTGCTGCCTGCTTGGAGCTGTGGCACCAGCCTCTGGGCTCCTGACTCAAGCACAGGGGGCTTCAGGACCTCCGTGTTCTCTTGGCCTCTCCCAGTCTGAGCTGTTTTATCTGCAAGGAGTGCTTGCAGATTTGGGAAAGGAAATAGGAACACGTTGTGTAAGCAAACACCAAGAATGCAGCATTCCCTGCAGTGAGGGTCCCACCACAGGCACACAGCAGCAGGTGGCTGACACACGGTCTGTAAGATGGAAGAGATGCGGACGCCCAGGGACAGGTTCACGGGGCCCAGTGGCCAATGGCCTGTTTTGCCTTGCAGAGGTGGTTTCATAAGTCAGTTCACAGTATACCACCGGCTCCGCCAGCAGGTCCGCGGGGTGGGTGCGGCGGGAGCTGTGGAGATGCGTGGGAATAACGCCGACACCCCAGGCTGCAGCATCCTGAGCTCCAGGGCCGCGGTCCGACTCCTCCCCCGGTCCCAGGCTTCATCCTGGCCTGGGCTTCTCCGAGGCAGGGCTGGGGCCGCACTGTGTGAGGGGCTCAGGCTCAGGGCGGTCCCAGGCCTGGGTGGGGCCCAGAGGTGCCTCTGCTTCACAGGAAATCTGCAATGATGACTCAGAGTAAACTTGACTCTTTCTCTTATGAAGAAGATACATGTTCATCATAGCGAATTTTTTAAAATCATAAAGCAACATCTAGTTTCACTACCGAGTGGGATTCAGAGCTAATACTTCAGTGTGTTTCTGCTTAAGCGTTTTTCTTTTTTTTAGATGGAGTCTTGCTCTGTCGCCCAGGCTGGAGTGCAGTGGCACAATCTCGGCTCACTGCAACCTCCGCCTCCCGGGTTCAAGTGATTCTCCTGCCTCAGCCTCCCAAGTAGCTGGAACTACAGGCACATGCCACCATGCCCAGCTAATTTTTGTATTTTTAGTAGAGGTAGGGTTTCGCCATGTTAGCCAGGCTGGTCTCAAACTCCTGACCTCAGGTGATCCGCCCTCCTCGGCCTCCCAAAGTGCTGGGATGACAGGCGTGAGCCACCGTGGCCACCGTGCTATAAGTGTGTTTATAGACGTGCTGTCGCCTGCTCTGTGCACCGTACCGTGAGCGTGTTCATAGACGTGCAGTCGCCTGCTTTGTGTTCCTTCATGCACTTTCATCAGGGATCTTTTCTGATTGTAAGTGATGCTTATGTCTCAGGGAGAACATGAAAACCACATAAAGCATGAAAATAAAACATCCTGAATCCCAGTCCTGGCTGAGCTTACTGTTGTCATGGGGCTGATTTCCACAACCTGCCCCACCCACAGCGGGTGAGCTCCCTCCGCTCCCCCCCTCCTCTCTCCTGTCCCCTTTGCTCCCTCTTTTCTCTTCTCTCCCCCTCCCTCCTCTCACGCTCAGTCCTCTCCCTCTCCCTCCTCTCATGCTCACTCCTCTCCCTCTTCCCTCCTCTCCCCCTCCTTCCTCTCACGCTCACTCCTGTCCCCCTCCCTCCTCTCTCCTGTCCCCTCCTCTCCGCCTCCCTCCTCTCATGCTCACTCCTCTCCCCCTCCCTCCTCTCACGCTCACTCCTGTCTCCCTCCCTCCTCTCTCCTGTCCCCTCTCCCCCTCCCTCCTCTCACGCTCACTTCTCTCCCCCTCCCTCCTCTCATGCTCACTCCTCTCCCCCTTCCCTCCTCTCCCCCTCCCTCCTCTCCCCCTTTTCCCCTCTCTCCCCCTCCCTCCTCTCACACTCACTCCTCTCCCCCTTCTTCCTCTCTCCTGTCCCCTCCTCTCCCCCTTCCCTCCTTTCCCCCTCCCTCCTCTCACACTTGCTCCCCTCCCCCTTTCCTCATCTCCCCCTCCCTCTTCTCCCCTGTCCTCATTCTCCTCTCCGGCTCCCTACTCTCCCCTTCACCGTCTCCCTCCTCTCTCCCATCCCCTATTCTCCTCCTCCCTCCTCTCTCCCCCCCTCTCCCCCTCCCTCCTCTCTCCCCCTCCCTCCTCTCTCCCCCTCCCTCCTCTCTCCCCCTCCCTCCTCTCTCCCCCTCCCTCCTCTCTCCTGAAGTTACCCAGGTGTCTCTGGCACATGTCCACCCCCAAGCCCCCATCCAGGCCATTCCTGCAGGAGATCCTTCTCCCATGGGGCTCCACCCCCCAACCCCAGCCCAGTCGGCTTCCAGGATCCTAGGAAGCACAGAGCCAGGAAACCACTGCCCTGGGGGGCCTCCCAGAGAGCTGCACTGCAGGGTCTGGCTGGGAAGGGCCCTGCAACCCCGCCTGTGTGTGGGGGGAGGTAAATGCACTTCCAGAGAAAGGGAAGAAGGGGGCGAGCCACATCCCCTCCCTGGCGACCTGGCTGTCCTTTCTCAGGCCTGCCGGCCCTTCTGTGGATGGGGACTCTGGGCCCAGTCTGGGATCCCAGAAGCAGCTGTGGGGAGCAGGACTTACCCCACTGTGCCAGTCGTCCACAGCCCTGGGGGGATCTGAGTCTCCAGGTGTGGGAAGGGAGAGGGTGGGAGAAGGGAGAGAGTGGGAGGAGGGAGAGAATGGGAGGAGGGGAGAGGGGGTGGGAGGAGGGAGAGGGTGGGAGGAGGGAGAGGAAGAAGGATGGAGGAGAGGGCCTTGAATGTGCAGTGTCCCTGGCAGGGCCTCTCTGACTCCTGCGGGTGGACCCGAGCCTCCTCTTCCAGCAGGACCTGGCTAAGAGGGGATGAGGATGGAGCATGAGGTGGGCTTGGTGGAGGAAGCTGTCCCGGGAGGCAGGGGAGGGCAGGGCTGTTTCTGGAACCTGCCTGCCCTCCACCCCCACCCCCACCCCCACCCCCATCAGGACCCTGCGTTCAGGGAGAGGAGCCCCCCAGTCCACCTTGAGGAGCCCTGGTGCCTCCAAACGTCAGCGCGGGGAAAAGGGGAATTATCCACCGCTGTCCTGTGTTAGTGGTTTTCTTAAACCCATAAAAGTGGTGGAACGGGAAGGAAAGACCATCCCAGGAAACTGCCTTTGTCCACAGGGAAAGTTGCAGAGGAGACTCAGTGCTGCTGGTGGCTGGTGGGAGCCCCAGGGCTGCTGGCCCAGGCCCCGCTTCTGTCCTTCCCCTTTTGGACCAACCGTACCCCCTCCCCTGTTGTGGGAAGTCAGGGACCCCAAATGGAGGGACCGGCTGAAGCCACGGCAGAAGAACGTGGATTGTGAAGATTTTATGGACACTTATTAGTTCCTCAAGTTAATACTTTTATAATTTCTTATGCCTGTCTTTACTGCAATCTCTAAACATAAATTGTAAAGATTTCATGGACACTTATCACTTCCCCAGTCAATACCCTTGTGATTTCCTATGCCTGTCTTTACTTTAATCTCTTAATCCTGTCAGCTGAGGAGGATGTATATTGCCTCAGGACCCTGTAATAATTGTGTTAACTACAAAAATTGTACAGCATGTGTGTTTGAGCAATATGAAATCTGAGCACCTTGAAAAAAGAACAGGATAACAGCAATTGTTCAGGGAATAAGAGAGATAACCTTAAACTCTAACCGCAGGTGAGTCAGGCAGAACAGAGCCATATTTCTCTTCTTTCAAAAGCAAATGGGAGAAATATCGCTGAATTCTTTTTCTCAGCATGGGATATCCCTGAGAAAGAGAATACGCACCTGGAGGTATTGGCTTATAAACAGCCCCCCCAGGTGGGCCTGTCTCTTATGGTTGAGGCTGCAGAGATGAAATAAACTCCAGTCTCCCATAGCGCTCCCAGGCTTATTAGGAAGAGGAAATTCCCACCTAATAAATTTTGGTCAGACCGGTTGATGTCAAAACCCTGTCTCCTGATAAGATGTTATCAGTGACAGTGGTGCCCAAAACTTCATTAGCAATTTTAATTTTGCTTCGGTCCTGTGGTCCTGTGATCTCGCCCTGCCTCCACTGGCCTTGTGATATTCTATTACCCTGTTAAGTACTTGCTGTCTGTCACCCACACCTATTCACACACTCCCTCCCCTTTTGAAACTCCCTAATAAAAACTTGCTGGTTTTTGCGGCTTGTGGGGCATCACAGATCCTACCAACGTGTGATGTCTCCCCCGGATGCCCAGCTTTAAAATTTCTCTCTTTTGTACTCTGTCCCTTTATTTCTCAAGCCGGCCGACGCTTAGGAAAAATAGAAAAGAACCTACGTGATTATCAGGGCAGGTCCCCCGATACTTCCCCACCCACACCCACACGGAACTCCCAACCCCAGCCCCAAGGCAGGGTCCCACTTCCCCCTTTAAAAATCTTTTTCCTCCCAGGTCTCTCAGCCACCCCCTCTCCTATCACCACGGCCGGCCAAGCTCTGCGCCACGCGTCAGTCGCCTCCCTGCCCTACCCAGGGCACCCGAGATGTGGAGGACCTGCCCTCCATGGGCTCCAAAAACCCAGGCCCCAGCTGGGGAAATTTTCTAGACAAGGAGGCCTCGAGACCCACGCAGTGAGGGTGGACGGCGGAGGGGACGGTGCTTCTAGCCCCGCAGGGCCCGGCTGCAGTGCTGAGACTGGGCCCCGCCCTCCACTCTCCAGGCGCTGGCAGGAGCTCGCTCGGGGCTGCAGGTCTGTCCTCCACCCCCAGGAAAGGCTGGGAGGAAACTCATCCAGGGATTTTCCATCCCATAAGCTCTTTTTCCACAGAAGTCCGAGTGCCTTCGGGGAGGGAGCAGGACAGCTGCGCCCACGGGCAGGGGACAGGCCCTGCGTTTGTGCCCGGAGGGCAGGTGGTGGGGGCTGTCCGTGCCCCCTCCCCAGTGACTGTGGAGTTTCCGGAACGCCGTCCGGCGACTCCCTCCCAGGGTGTGGTGTTGGAAGGCGGCACCCACTATAAACACCGAGGACCCAAGCCCTCCAAGCATCTGTGGAACAAAGACTTTTTTTATTTCTTTCTACTGCCTCCACTATCCAGTGAATTTTCCTCCCAACTTAGAACATGACTCATCAAGGAGGACCCTGTTTCCAGGGGTTACACATGCGGTTTCCGCGGTGGTGGCCCTGTACGGCCAGTGGAAGTGGCACAGGGACAGAGAGGCACATGCCGGCCCCTCCAAGGGCCCAAGGGGTGCACGCGGCCCTCGGCTCCTGTCCCGGCACCTGGGCATGGCGGCCATCCCCTCCCCTCCCTCCTTTGTGGGGGGTGAACCCATCTCCATCTCCTCCTCCCTGTGAAGGTCCAGGGGTCTGGCTGGCCCGCGTGTTTGCTGGGCACCTAGGGCAGGGCGGCGTCTGGCCCCAGCCTGTTTGCGGAGTGTGAATGAGTCCGCTGGCCGGAGGCAGCCTGCGGTTGGATCTCCCCGGGCTTCGGGTGGGGCGGGTCCCAGGGCCGCGGGTGGGGAAAGTGCAGCCCATCCTGGTCCCAAGCGGGGGTGCGACGGCTCAACACTGGTCCTTGTGAGTCAGGCTCTCCCTACAGGACGTCCCCCAGGTGATCGCTGGGGCCTCGTTGACCACGGGCCTCCCCAGTCGCCAACGGGAAGGCAGAAGGCAGAAAAGAGGCCAGCCGGGAGGCGGCCGTTGCCACAGGAGCCCGCGGCGCGGGGAGGACGCCTCGGCTGCAGGCGGGGCTCCTGGCAAGCGTCGGGGACGCGGCCTCCCACCGGTCGGGTCGGGAGGGAGCAGGCTTCTGGGGAGAGTGGGCGACCTCGGCGATCCAGGAATCGGTCTGCGACAGACTGACTCCTAGATAGGAAAACACACGTTTCCGGCAGCATCGCCTGTAACTGGAAAGACACAAGGCTCAATGCCGGGGACTGGTCCGTCAATCACGGGCCCTGGGACAGTCCTGCGGCCCCCAGACAGCGGCGAAGAAAGCTCTGCGCGCCCCGGTTTGTTCCGGGAGCGCCTCTGGGAGCCGCAGGCTCTGGATATCAGAGGGAGGGCGCGACCCCGTGGCGGGAGCCGCAGGGTGCTGGGGTTGCGTTCCCGCCCTCTCTGCGTTTCCTTTAGTGACTCCCGCTAAGAGGGGCTGAGGCGGAAACCCCCGCACTGAGTGTGAAACTCAGGAGCTCGCTGAGGCCCCCTGGTGCTTCCCGGGGCCGCGTGCATTGGCCTGA
The DNA here is from genome assembly GCF_000001405.40 of Homo sapiens. Lineage (NCBI taxonomy): Eukaryota > Metazoa > Chordata > Mammalia > Primates > Hominidae > Homo > Homo sapiens. The sequence continues at coordinate 45,973,760 of NC_000021.9, read as the reverse complement.
TTTCATTTTGTTCCGTTGCCTGTAAGCTGAGAATTTCATTTTCTGGTGAGAATCCGCCATAGAAGCTCTGGTTCTGGGAACTGTCATTTCAAAGAGACGCAAAAAAAAAAAAAAAAAAAAAAAAAGACTGAAAGACTGTCTCGATGGCGCTGTGATCTCGCTGGGTTGAGAGGCCACTGCCCTGAAACCCAGGGCCCGTGAGGCAAAGGGTGGCGGGGGGTCCAGGGCTGCCCAGCGCTGGCAACACAGAGGCTCCCCCAAGCCATGCCGGGGGCTGGCACCGCCTCCTGAGGACCCCCGAGTGGATCCCTCTCCCAGGCTGGCATCACGCCCCATCCCGTGGCTCCCGGGCGCCCATCAGGGGCTGGTCCAACACGCCCTCCAGGGAGGGCTGGAGACTGCAGAAGAGCGCTCTGAGCCCGTCTGACCGCACGGGGTGGGCTCCCGCCGCAGGCAGGCCCGGCCCCCGGGACACGGACGCGGCAGGGACGTCCCCCACGGCACGGGGCCCGCAGCCCCTAGAGCTGGGCCCCGGAGGCGGCTGCGAGGCTGCGGGGCTGGACGGGTTAAGCCTTTCCCGTTACCTCATGCTGGCCTCCGCCTCTGAACATCTGGCAGGAATATTTCTTTACAGCCGTCTGAGCTGTGGGGGAGTCTGGCTGCGTTCCCAGAGCCTTTTCCTCAGATTTCAGCGGAATGGGGGAGCCAGCAGGAGCCGGCGTGGACCCCAGGGAGGAGGCTTCCCGGGAAGGGACGGCGCTGAGGCCGCACCTGGCCCCCAGAGCCCACCCTGAAGGCTCCCGGGCAGCCAGCGCATTCCTGCTGACGAGAATCACTTCCGGCGCCGCTGACCCGGCCCGGGAGACCCTGTTCCGGCGCCGCTGACCCGGCCCGGGAGACCCTGAGATGTCTGTGGGCAGCAGTGGGAGCCCTCGGGTGGGGTTGCCGAGGCTGCGGAGGGCCAGGGCTGCACGAGTGGCACAGCTCAGACCTGGGGTCCCTGTGTGAGACCCCGCACCCCGGGCCGGGGCCCGAAACTCCCTCCTCTGTGCCCCCATCATGGCTTCTGGGCCCAAAAGGTCGTGGGGGGAGGGGCGGGCTCCCGAGCACTGGGTTTCAAGCCCCGATGCTGTCGGTCCTGCCGGCCCCATGCTCAGACACCCGGTTCCCTTCGCAGCGCAGGGCAGGGCCCAGGGGCTTCTAGGACCTGGTCTCGGAGCTCCACACAGGCCCTCCCCCGGCAGTGGGGAGCTCAGCTGCGGGGGCTGCCCCATGTCCCGCTCACCCGCCGGCATGCAGCAGTTTTAACGAGGCTGGGGCAGTAGGGAAGAAAGGGTTAGGATCCCTTACAGACCAGCAGCCCCCACTCCGGCTGGGTCCCAGAGAGACGGGGGCGGGGGGCTCCTTGCCACTCTGCAGGGAGCTGAACATGGGTGGTCACAGTCCCACATCACCCCACTCCTCAGACACCCAGAGGGTTTCCACGCAGGACCACAGCATCTGTAGGGGGCCACTCAGACCCTCCGTCTCTCTGCCTGACCACACCGTGGCTCAGAGAAACTGCTGGCATCCTGCCTGGTATACCCCAGGCTGGATGTGCCAGGAAAGCTGGGGCAGTCAGAACTGGGTGCGGTCCCAGCTCTGTCACCCACTAGTTGCCTGAGCTCGGGTCGGGACACAGGCTCCCAGAAGCTCCGTTTTCTCAAGTTGTCAAGAGAATGTCCACTCTGTCGGTGGGAGCTGATGGAGGGAGTAACAGTGACAGAGCTGGGGCTCCCATGAGGCCGAGGTCCACAGGCCCGGGGCTCAGAGACCAGTCCAGATGGACGCAGCACACAGCTGCCAGGGGCCCGCCCACCCAGCCCAGCTTCCCAGCATCTGGTTTCCATTGTCCCCACATGGGAGTCACAGAGCCTGGGGCCGAGTGCCTGGGTAACATCTGGGCTTCTCAGGAACACTCACACTCCCTGGGCCAATCAAACCCCAAAGAGAGGGTGCGGTGGGAACGCGGCTGGTCTGTGGAAAGAGACCTCATCTCCGTTCAGGGCCTCCAGGCCTCAGGGCCATCTCAGTGCCCACCTTACGGAGCTGTGGCTGGAGGCTCTGGGATCAGGACAAACTGGGAGCGAGACGCAGCCATCCCTGCTCTGGGCTGGGTCTGGGGTCCCAGGGTGCCAGCCACAGCCAGGCCGGAGGGCCCAGAGCAAGGCCCTCCCAGGTGCCCGGCCTCTGGAGTCCCCACCCTTGGGAGGCAGAGACCCTCGCGTTCAGCAGGGTGACCTCCGTGATCTAGGGCTCCTGGGCTACTGCCAGTTCCCTCCCCAAACATGTGACCCCAAAAGCATCAGGATCTGAGGGTTGTTTCAGAGCTGGGGGAGGGGTTGGGTGCTCTTTTGCCCTCAGGAGAGCAGGCCCAGTACTCAGTGAGTGCCCAGGGGTGAGGAGGGCTCAGGAGGCCAGCGCCGGGCCATCAGCCTCTGCACCCCAGGGTCTGAACTCAGGGTCTGAGCGAGTCCAGGGCTGCCCTGCAGTGACAGGGAGGGCCGAGGGTGGCAGAACTGGTGATGGTGGCTCTGGAGATGGCGGTGGGGGAAACGGGGGCAGGCAGCCTGGCTTTGGGACCCCAGGCCCCAAGGTCACAGTGACCTGTAGCCTGCTGGGTCCAGATACACAAGCAATTGTCACAGCCTAGCAGCTGGGGGGCTCTAGGAGGGAGGCTGGGGCTGCACAGTGAGGGGCAGTGCGGGGTGTGGGACACGGTTTCTGGAGTCTCTGCTCCCCCAGCCTCGTCCCTGCACAATCGCAGGCCCCCTCCTCCCCTCCCACTGAAGCTCACTCCAGACAGCTAGGTTGACAGCTGGGTGGGTGCCCCTGGACCCTGAGGCTGGTGAGGCTCCTGCGGACGCCATGGAGGGATGGTCAGGGGCGCCCTCTGCTGCCCATGGGCACCAGTGCAGGACGGTCCCCCGAGGGGCCCAGAGCCAGCACTGTCCCCTTTCCGTGGCCTCCCCGCTGGCCCCAGATGCCTGGGTCCACCGGTGCCTGGGAGACTCTGGCGAGGCTTCCGCTGGGGTCAGTGGATTTGCCACCCCCTCTCTGTCCTGACCCTGCCGGAGGCCAGTGAGGGAGCAGCTGGAACAGGGAGCCCTCCAGGCCTGCAGGCAGCGGCTTCCCTTGGCTGCAGGGACTGGGTGGGAGCCGGAGCCTGGCCCGGAGGCTGTGGGGTGCAGGAGGTGCGAGGAGCCCTAGGCCAGGGTCACAGCCCAGGTAGGAGGCATCAGGGCCTCCGTGGTCGTTGTTTTCAGCAGAGACCTCGGGGGAGACGCAGTGCCTGCCAGAGCCCACTGCAGTGGTCGGCTCCAGTTGCCCCAGGCCAGGCTACGCCTGGGCGTTTCTCCAGGTCTCCTGAGAACCCCTTTCCCCTGATAATGGGAACAATCCCCTCACCTTCCCCTTTGCAGAGGCAGGAATGGTGCTGGCTCACTGTTACATTATTCTCTTACCTCTTTGTCTCCTTTAATTTGACCTTTCCTGACCTTGACGTTTTTGAGACGTTTAAGCCACTTATTCTGTAAAATGCATCTCAAGTTGGGCTTGTGGGGCCGTTTCTCATGACCAGGTCCAGGCTGTGTGTTCCGGCCGGAATTCCACAGTAGTGCTGGGGGCCCTCGGGCGGGAGTCAGAGGCTGCTGCTAATGGGAGCTTCGATTTAGGGCAGCTTGAACCTGTGCTCCCAGGTGGCTGTCCTTAAGCTCTGGGCTCCAGTAAACTCTATGCTTAATCATATTTTCTGAGTCTGGTAATTTAAGACGGACAATGATATCCCTGTCTATCATCCGTCTAATTTTGTTATTCATCTATTGACCTCCAGCTACCATCCCTCAGTGTACTGGGGCTGCTGTAATGAAATGCCATACCGTGGGAGGCTTCCATAACAGAAACTAATTTTTTCATAGTTCCGGAAGCTAGAAGTTCAAGGTCAAGGTGCTGTCAGGGTTGGTTTCTGGTGAGGCCTCCCTCCCTGGCTTGCGTACAGCTGCCTTCTCATTTCTTCACATGGCCTCTTCTCTGTCCACTTGCAGAGAGAGAACAATCTCTGTGTCTCCTCTGAGAAGGACACCAGTCCTGTCAAATTAGAACCCCACCCTTATGACCCCATTTAACCATAACTACCTCCTTACAGGTCCCATCTCCAAATGCACTCACATTAGGGCTTAAGGGCTTTGACATATGAACACGGGAGGGACACAGTCAGTCTGTAACACCACTGACCCATGCACACCTGTGTGTCTGCTTGGCTGCCTTCCCGCCACTGTAACACCTTTTCAGAGAGTGGAGACCAGACCCCCACCAGCCACAGTGTAATTGTCTATTTGCTGCATCCGAGAATACACAGAAAGCAGCTTCAGGGTTGCTAATCCCTACCTGTGTGAAAAGCAAACCTACTGTGTAGAGCTTATTTATAATTTTTTAATAATATAATTATATATAAATAGATAATTATACAATTATAATATTTACTTATAATTTTGAGGGATCTTTGGCCTATGAGTACATGGTCAAAATACTTTGTTCAAAAATTTCTTTTTTTTTTTTGAGACAGAGTCTCGCTCTGTCACCCAGGCTGGGGTGCAGTGGTGCTATCTCGGCTCACTGCAACCTCCACCTCCTGGGTTTGAGCGATTCTCGTGCCTCAGCCTCCCAAGTAGCTGCACCTGCACCTGCAGGTGCCTGCCACCATGTCTGGCTAATTTCTGTATTTTTACTAGAGACAGGGTTTCAGCATATTGGCCAGGCTGGTCCCGAATGCCTGACCTCGGGTGATCCGCCGACTTTGGCCTCCCAAATTACAGGCATGAGCCACCATGCCTGGCCTGTTAAAAAATGTCTTATCCTCCCCTTTCCCTTGCATCCAGTGTGCTTATATTATCCATTTGAAATGAAATGAGTGTCGATTCCATTTTGTTTCCCCACGCTTATTGGTTTCAGTTATTAGTTTCTGAGTAGGGGAGACAATAACATGTTCTGAAGTTTGGAGTTACAGAAGGGTTTGCTCACGCAGTGGTCACTCCCGTCTCCCCCTCCTTTCTGCCCTGCCCCACCCACCTCCTGGAGGCAACCAGACATTCTCAATTCTCATTTAGCCTTTCTGTGTTTCTTTTTGCAAAAGTAAAATGATGCATGTATATTATTTTCTTATTTCTCTTTTTTCTCACCCCAAATAGCCTACTATAATCTTTTGCTCTTTGCCTTTTTTCATCACTTAACAACATACATTGAAATCACTCCGTGTTGGGTCATAGAGACCATCCTCATTCTCTGTGCAGCTGCATGAAGGCACTATGTGGCAGTACCTTAGCTTAGCCAACACACGTCTACACAGGAGCATTTAATTTTTTCCGGTATTTCACAACCACCAATTATACTGCATCAAATGACCTTGTGCCTACAAGTCTTCCTATCGTTGGAGGTTTTCTTCGGTGTGAATTCGTAACGTGGAGTTGCTGGGTCACGGAGTTTTATCGGATTGAACTGCCTTCCGCACGGCTGTGCAGCTTGGAGTCGTCAGCCAGTGAGAGGCCACGGCCTCATCAATACTGTAACTGTCACAACACGAGATTGGAGAGGACCTCTCACTGTAGTTTTAATTTTTATTTCTTATTCCAAATGAAGTTGAACAACTTTTCATATAATTAAAGATCTTTTTTTTTTTTTTTTTTTGAGACGGAGTCTCGCTCTGTCGCCCAGGCTGGAGTGCAGTGGCGGGATCTCGGCTCACTGCAAGCTCCGCCTCCCGGGTTCACGCCATTCTCCTGCCTCAGCCTCCCAAGTAGCTGGGACTACAGGCGCCCGCCAACACGCCCGGCTAATTTTTTGTATTTTTAGTAGAGACGGGGTTTCACCGTTTTAGCCGGGATGGTCTCGATCTCCTGACCTCGTGATCCGCCCGCCTCGGCCTCCCAAAGTGCTGGGATTACAGGCGTGAGCCACCGCGCCCGGCCTAAAGATCATTTTTATACATTTTTGGAGAAATGATCTATTCATGTTTCATGTCTTTTGCCCATTTTTCTGTTGAGTTTTTGATGTTTTCCCCCTCAAATATTGAATTTTTTAATATATGGAATATTAGCTATGCATCTGTGATTGTGCAGCACACACCTTCTCCTCGTCTCTCAATTTTCCTTTGCCTTTGTGGTGTTTTGGGCCATGCAGAATGCTATTATTTTCATGTAGTCAAATTAATCTTTTGTTTTGATTCCTAGAAAAATCTTTCCTCATATTCAGGGTATGGAGGAATTCACCTGTATTTCCTCTAGTACTTGTTTCATTTTTTACATTCAGATCCCAAATCCACTGGGGTGTATTCTTGTGTATGGTGTGAGGTGTGTGTGCCGGGGAAACTCTAACCCTGTTTCTCCTCTGCTCTCACACCACAACAACCGTCAACATGGAAGAAGACTTCTGCAACCAAATGTGCAGAGGTTTCCCCACACATCAGGCAGCGGGCACCTCTAATTCAGTTCCAACGCTGCCTGCCCAGAGCTAGTTTCACCTCCTACAGTGTAAGGGGTCCGTCCCCAAGACCACTCCCTCTTTCCCACCAGTGGCAAGTGTGGGCCTCTGGAGCCTCTGACCAACCAGCTTCCAGCTGGAGTTTGATTAATTTGCTGGAGTGGCTCACAGAACCCAGGGAAACACTTATGTACATTACCAGCTTATTATAAAGGATGTTGCAAAGGATACGCATGAAGAGGCCGAGGGGGAGGGAAGGGGGAGGGGCTTGTTGCTTCCATGTCCTCCCCGGGCAGCACCCTCCAGGACCTTCCATGTATTCAACTCCAAAAGCTCACTGAACACTGTTCTCGTGGGCTTTTATAGAAGCTTCATGACATCAACACTCCTTTCCCCAGGGTCTAGGGTGGGACCCTCTCAGGTGAGGGTCTTAAGACCCACAGTCAGCAAGGTGGGGACGTTAGAGTGAAGGACAGGAGAAGGTGAGAGGCCTCCCCTGTGGCCCAACACACCCGACATTGTAACAAAAGACTAACGAGGGGTAGGGGAGGCATGAGCCAGGAACCATGGATGAAAACCCATTTATATATGTGATAACACCAATATATACCCATTTATATATATCATAACACCAATATATACCCATCTAATGCCACAGTATGGAACCCATTTTAACTTTTTCCAAATAGCTACTGAGTTGTCCCAGCACCATTTATTAAAAAGTCCAACTTTGCTTTAATTATTTGAGATGCCATCTATATTAGTCCATTCTCGCATTGCTGTAGAAAAAAATACCCATAACTGGCTGGGTGCAGTGGCTCATGCCTGTAATCCCAGCACTTTGGGAGGCTGAGGTGGGCTGATCACCTGAGGTCAGGAGTTCAAGATCAGCCTGGTCAACATGGTGAAACCCCATCTCTACTAAAAATACAAAAAATTAGCTGGGCATGGTGGTGGGCGCCTGTAATCCCAGCTACTGGGGAGGCTGAGGCAGGAGAGTCACTTGAACCCGGGAGGCGGAGGTCATGGTGAGCCGAGATTGCCCCACTGTACTCCAGCCTGGGCAATAAAAGCAAACCTCCATCTAAAAAAAAAATAAAAATAAAAAAAGGAAAAGAAAAAAAGAAATACCCATAACTGGGTAATTTATTTAAAAAGAAGTTAATGGGCTCACATATGCAGGCTCTACAGGAAGGATAGCAGTTTCTGCTTCTGGAAGGCCTCAGGAAACTTACAATCACAGCAGGAGGCAAAAGGAATGCAGGCACATCTTATGTTCCTGGAGCAGGAGGGAGAGAGAGATGCAAGAGGGGCCATACACTTTCAAACAACCAGATCTCATGATAACTCACTCACTCACTCTCATGAGAACAGCACCAAGGGGATGGTACTAACCCATTCATGAGAAATGCACCCCCATGATCCAATCATCTCCCACCAGGCCTCATCTCCAACACTGGGGATTACAATTCGATATGAGATTTGGTGGGGACACAGATCCAAACCTTATCATTCTGCCCCTGGCCCCTTCAAATCTCATGTCCTTCTCACATTGCAAAATACAATCATCCCTTCTCAACAGTCCCCTAAAGTCCTAACTCATTCCAGCATTGACTCAAAAGTTCAAAGTCCAAAGTCTCATCTAAGACAACCCTTCCATCTATGAGCCTGTAAAATAAAAAACAAGTTAGTTACTTCCAAGATACAATGGGGATACAAGCATTGGGCAAATACTCCTATTCCAAAGGGGGAAAAGTGGCCAAAAGAAAGGGGCTATAGGCCCCCTGCAAGTCCGAAATCCAGTAGGGCAGTTGTTAAAACTTAAAGCTCCAAAATAATCTCCTTTGACTTCATGTCTCACATCCAGGGCACACTGGTGAAACGGGTGAGCTCCCAAGGCCTTGGACAGCTTCACCCCTGTGACTTTGCAGGATTCAGCCCCCACAGCTGCTCTCAAGGGCTGGTGTTAAGTGCTTGTGGCTTTTCCAAGCATATGGTGCAAGCTGTCAGTGGATCTACCATTCTGGGGTCTGGAGAATGGTGGCCCTCTTCTTACAGCCTCACTAGGCAGTGCCCCAGTGGGGACTCTGTGTGGGGGCTCCAGCCCCACATTTCCCCTCCACACTGCCCGAATAGAGATTGTCCACAAGGCTTCACCCTTGCAGCAGGCTTCTGCCTGGAGACGCAGGCTTTTTCATACATCCTCTGAAATCTAGGCAGAGGCTCCCAAGCCTTAACTCTTGCACTGTGTGCAGCTGCAGGCTTAACACCACGTGGAAGCCACCAAGGATTATGGCTTACATTCTCTGAAGCAACAGCCTGAGCTGTAACTGGGCCCCTTTCAGCCACAGCTGGAGCTGAAATGGCAGGGATGCAGGGAGCAGTGTCCCATGGTGTTGGGGCCTTGGACTTGGCCCATGAAACCATTCTTCCCACCTAGGCCTCCAGGCCTGTGATGGGAGGGGCTGCTGCAAAGGTCTCTGAAATGCCTTGGAGACCTTCTCCCCACTGTCTTGGATATTAGTACTTGGCTTCTCTTTACTTATGCAAATTTCTGCAGCTTGCTTGCATTCCAGCCCTGAAAATAGGCTTTTCTTTCCTACCACAGGGCCAGGCTGCAAATTTTCCAAACTTTTATGTTCTGCTTCCCTTTTAAATATAAATTCAAGTTTTAGGTCATTTCTTTGCTCACACATCTGAGCATAGACAGTTAGAAGCACCCAGGCCACATCTTGAATGCTTTGCTGCTTAGAAATTTCTTCCACCAGATACCCAAAATCATCTCCCTCAAGTTCAAAATTCCACAGATCTCTAGGGCAGGGGCACAATGCTGCCAGTTTCTTTGTTAAAGCATAGCAAAAGTGGCCTTTGCTCCAGTTCCCAGCGAGTTCCTCATCTCCATCTGAGACCTTCTCAGCCTGGACTTCACTGTCTGTATCACTATCAGCATTTTGGTCACAAAAATTTAACAAATCTCTAGGAAGTTCCGAATTTTGCCACATCTTCCTATCTTCTTTTGAGCCCTTCACACTCTTCCAATTTCTGCCTGTTACCCAGTTCCAAAGCTGCTTCCGCAAAGCTGCTTCCACATTTTCATGTATCTTTATAGCAATGCCCCACTTCTTGGTACCAATTTTCGGTATTAGTCCATTCTCACACTGCTATAAAGAAATGCCCATAACTGAGTAATTTATGAAGAAAAGAGATTTAATTGGCTCATGGTTCCACAGGCTATAGAGGAAGCATGGTGGCTTCTGCTTCTGGGGAGGCCGCAGGAAATTTACAATCACAGTGGAAGGCGAAAGGGACGCAGGCACATCTTCCATGGCCGGAGCAGGAGGAAGAGAGAGATGGGGGAGAGGCCACACACTTTAAAACAACCAGATCTCATAACTCACTCACTATCACGAAAACAACGCTGAGGGGATGGCGCTAAACCATTCGTGAGAACCCCGCCCCCATTGTCCAGTCACCTCAAACACTGGGGCTTACAATTTGACATGAGATTTGGTGGGGACACAGATCCAAATCATATCACCATCTTTATTTAGAAACATAAATTTCCATAAGTGCTTGGTGCCCTGTTTTATTCTGAGCTTTCTGTTCTGCTCCACTGGCCTGTTCTCTGTGCACTGGTGTCTCACCGTTTCCGTCACAGAGCTAATGTAGGCTGCAGCTTCTCCACCAGCCCCCTTGTAGGGAGTTTTTTTCTGTTTCCTGGCTGTTCTTGCTTGTTTGTTTTTCCATATGAATTTTAGTATCTATTTGTCTACATCAATAGAAAAGTTGGTGTTTTTACTGGGATTGCACTACATTTATAAAGTGTGTGTGGAAAACGTTCAATGGTGTGGAGTCATCCTATCCAAGAGCAAGGGCATCCATCCATTTAATGACCTCATCCTCGTGTCTTCCAGAGTGTTTTAAGGTTTTCTCATATAAGATTTGCACATTTCTTGTTACACATTCCTAAGTAGTCTCCTCTGTTGTTGTTTTAAATGGAGAGCTCTGCGTTTTAGCTGTTGAAAATTATTTAAATGGAAAACAACCTTTCTTTATTAGCATTTGTAAAACTATCCTGTAGGGAGAGCCTCTGATGAAAAGTATATGAAAAGTAGGTCAGTGAAGTCAGAGGGCTGGCCTCTAGCCCTGGCTCCAGTATATACTTGTGTGTAATCCCCAGGAAAGCTGTGGTGTCTCTGGGCCACAGTTTACCCACCTGTAAAATGGGGATGCAGTGTCTATTCTGGTGGATGGTTGAGAAAATCAAGTGGAAGACACAAAGTGCCACAGGAAGTGGGTGATATGGTTGGGCTGTGTCCCCACCCAAATCTCATCTTGAATTGTTGCTCCCACAATTCTCATGTATTGTGGGAAGGACCCAGTGGGAGGTAATTGAATCATGAGGGCGGATTTTTCCTGTGCTGTTACCGTGATAGTGATAGACACAGGAGGCAGATAATGGGGAGGGTCCCCGGAGAATCTCCAATCTGCCTGTGCACTGGGAGAATGGGGTGGAGCCACAGGAAATTCACATCTTGTGCAAGAGGGAGGAGCCTGGCCTCTTCAGCTCCTGTGTGGTGGCCTGGAACTCAATCTGCAAGATGGGAGCCTCCTGGAAGGATCCCCTCCTGCTTTGCTGAGAGTTTTTTTCCTTTTTTTGTTTTTGCCCAATAAATTCCATTCCCCTCACCCTTCAATACGTCTGCATGCCTAACTTGTCCTGGTCATGACACAAGAACCCAGATTTAGCTGAACTAGGAGCAAAGTCCTGCATCAATAGTGAATAAGTCTCATGAGATCTGATGGTTTTATAAAGGGCAGTTCCTCTGCACAGGCTCTCCTACCTGCCACCATGTAAGATGTGCCTTTGCTCCTCCTTTGCCTTCTGCCATGATTGTGAGGCCTCCCCAGCCATGTGGAACAGTGAGTCCATTAAACCTCTTTTCTGTTATAAATTACCCAGTCTCGGGTATGTCTTTATTAGCAGCATAGGAATGGACTAATACAGTAAATTGGTACTGCAGAGAGGGGGGTGCTGCTGTAAGGATACCCAAAAATGTGGAAGTGACTTTGGAACTGGGTTACAGGCAGAGGTTGGAACAGTTTGGAGGGCTCAGAAGAAGACAGGAAAATGTGGGAAAGTTAGGAACTTCCTGGTGACTTGTTGAATGGCTTTGACCAAAATGCTGACACTGACATGGACAATAAGGTGGTCTCCAGGCTGTGGTGGTCTCAGATGGAGATGAGATGAGGAACTTATCGGGAACTGGAGCAAAGGCAACTCTTGCTGTGCTTTAGCAAAGAGACTGGCGGCACTTTGCTGCTGCTCTAGAGGTCTGTGGAACTTTGAACTTAAGAGAGATGATTTAGGGTATTTGGCAGAAGAATTTTCTAAGCAGCAAAGTGTTTGAGAGATGACAGAGCATTAAAGTTTGGAAAATTTACAGCCTGACTATGGTAGAAAAGAAAAACCCATTTTCTGGGGAAAAATTCAAGCCAGCTGCAGAAATTTGCATAAGTAATGAGGAGCCAAATGTTAATCGCCAAGACAATGGGGAGAATATCTCCAGGGCATGTCAGAGACCTTTGTGGTAGCCCCTCCCATCACAGGCCCAGAGGCCTAGGAGGGAAAAATGCATTCATGGACTGGGCCCAGGGCTCCCCTGCAGTGTGCAGCCTTGGGACATGTTGCCCTGGGTCCCAGCTGCTTCAACTCCAGCCATGGCTAAAAGGGGACAAGGTACAGCTCAGGCCATTGCTTCAGAGGGTGCAAGCCCCCAGCCTTGGCAGCTTCCACATGGTGTTGGGTGCACGGGAGACAAGAATTAAGGTTTGGGAACCTCTGCCTACATTTCAGAGGACGTATGGAAATGCCTAGATGTCCAGGCAGAGGAGTGCTGCAGCGGCAGAGCCCTCATGCAGAACCTCTGCTTGGGCAGTGTGGAAGGGAAATGTGGGGTCAGAGCCCCCACACAGAGTCCCCACTGGGGCACTGCCTAGTGTGAGAAGAGGGCCATCATCCTCCAGACCCCAGAATGGTAGATCCACTGACAGCTTGCACCATGAACCTGGAAAAGTCACAGACACTCAATGCCAGCCCATGAAAGCAGCCAGGAGGGAGGCTGTACCCTGCAAAGCCACAGGGTTGGAGCTGCGCAAGACCATGGAAACCCACCTCTTTCATCAGCATGACCTGGATGTGAGAAATGGAGTCAAAGGAGATTATTTTGGAATTTTAAGGTTTAATGACTGCCCTAATAGATTTTGGACTTGCTTTGTCTCAGATGAGACTTTGGACTGTGGACTTTTAAGTTAATGCTGAAATAAGTTAAGACTTTGGGAGACTGATGGGAAGGCATGATTGGCTTTGAAATGTGAGGATGTGAGCAGGGTCAGGAGTGGAATGATATAGTTTGGCTGTGTCCCCACCCAAATCTCATCTTGAATTGTATCTCCCATAATCCCCACGTTGTGGGAGTGACTCAGTGGGAGGTAATTGAATTATGGGGGGTGAGTGTTTCCAGTATGGTTCTCGTGATAGTGCATAAGTCTCATAAGATCTGATGGTTTTATAAAGGGCAGTTCCTCTGCACAGGTTCTCTTGCCTGCCACCATGTAAGATGTGCCTTTGCTCCACCTTTGCCTTCTGCCATGATTGTGAGGCCTCACAGCCATGTGGAACTGTGAGTCCATTAAACCTCTTTTCTGTTATAAATTACCCAGTCTCGGGTATGTCTTTATTAGCAGCCTGAGAACAGATGAATACAGTGGGTTATTCACGTTATCTCCTGAAATATTCACTTCCAGGCCCTTGGAAAAGCTGAGCTGCACATCATGTGATGGTTAGAGGTGTCTAATGGTCATTAGAGGACACAGAGCGGTGCCACCCTGTGTCCATTGAATGAACTGCCCACAACAGGCCCTCCCAGTGCCTCCCCTGCCAGGCTCAGACTCATCATCTTGGGAAGGACAATGTGTCCCACACGGCCCTTTCCTTGGGGCCTTCCTCACCGTCTGTCTTGGATGTAGCCTCAGCCATCAGTGCCAGTGTTCCTGGGATGCTTGGCAAGGGCAGGGTCCTGGGTTGCATCCAGAACAGGGATCAGAACTGCAGGTGACGCACCTTGGAGTCTGCAGCACTCCAAGGCCAGCTGGTTCCTGCACATTCCAGGCTCCCAGAGCCAAGGCCGCTGCCTGAGCAGTGGAGAGAGGTGTTGAGACCAGTCACGGAAGCAACGTCCAGAGTGCACCCTGGAAGGGCAGGGGCTGGCAGCAGGGACTTTCTGGGAGAGGATCCCTGACTGCAATGAGGGCCGTGGGGTGGACCAGAAAGGATGCATCTCCGCGTGCTGCTACAGCACAGGTGGCTTCCTGTGTTTCTGAGCTTGGACAGGAACAGACTCTCTCAGGATGGACTCTGTGTCTGGCATCTCCTGCTTGGCGTAAGGTCCCTGAGGCAACCCAAGTTGATGTGTGTCTGAGCAGGCTGTTCATTCCCATTGCTGTGGAGCATCCCAGTGCGCAGACACTCCACATTTTACTCTCTCACTCATTTTGGGTGGCCTGTGGAGTGGAGATGTCATGAGAAGGGTGCTATGAATGTCCCAGTGGATGTTTCTGGTGCACACACATTCACAGTTCTCTTGACCACATCTGGAAGTAGAAACTACAAGGTCACAGACACGCAGATACTCAGCTTCAGGAGACACCACTCATCTTCCAGAGGAGCTATTCACTTCCAGCAGCCATCATTGGAAGTTCTATTTGCTCCACATCCTCTGTCCACAGGCCATCTCTGCCTGTTTCATTTCAGCTGTCTGTCGGCCAGGCAGCAGTTCCACGCTGTGGTTTAAATTTGCATGTTTGTTGGTAATGAGGTCGAACACCTTTGTGTATGCTTGTTGCCCACTGATTTCTCATGTCTTCTGAAGAGTCTGAGCAAGTCTTTTTCTCATTGGTCTCTTGGGCTGTCTTCTTATTTGCACGTTCTAGAATGAGGCTCTGTGTCAGACAAGTGTACTGTGAATATTTTGTCTTTCTAGTTCTTTATTTTATAGTTGTTTATCAACTTCGTTTATGGTTAGTGGTTTTGTGACCTCGGTATCACTCTTTGCCCACTGCAAGCTCTGGAAGCTCTTCTCCAATGTTTACTTCTAGAAGATCATTGTCTTACTTTTGACATGCAGATCTAAAATCCATCTGGAATTGACTTTTTTTTGGTATAGGGTGTGAGGTAGTGTTTTGTTTTGTTTTGTCAGAATGAAACAGAACAAAAAAACAGAAAAGGACCCCCAGAAAGGAAATTTAACAAAGTATCAGCACTGGTTATCTTTGGATGGTAGAAAAATGAGTGATTCTCATTTTTCTTCCCTGGAGTTATGAATTTTTACTTTTTGGGAAAGTGTTATGATGCTCTCCTAGGGTGATGGTTTTGACAGACTTCACTCTAACATCACTTTTCTCGGCATTGTAACAAATCCATTCTGACCATTGGAAAAGAAATTGTCCACTTTTGTACGAGCCATCTGATGGGCCCACTCCCTCTGGCTGAGTCTGTTTTCCCAGTAGAGGAAGCTCTCATGGGCTTGAGTTCCAGACAGTCATTCACTAATTCTTAAGAGGAAAAAGAATACTTCTGTGGTGGACACAGAAGTAGTCCAATTTCAAATACTGGACTTTCAAATGAAGTTCAAAAGTTTCCTGTATCTGAATCTGTCCAAACGACACTTGGAAATTTTCAAAAACACATTTTTTAAGAATTAGTCCTTTCTGTTTTCTCTATTTGGTCCTGCTTCTCCCATGGGAATCTCTTGGTCAACGAAATTCTTCTCCAGCTCCTGCTGACTCTGTGCTCTCCCACTCTGTCCAGCTCTGTCTCGTTGTGATCTGTACTATGCCCCCAAACTCCCTTTTTTTTTTGCTTGTGAAAAAAGCCCTGGCTGATCTGTTATTCAATCTTGAAAACAAACAAAAATAAAAAATGAACCAGTCTCTGACTATAAGGCAAGATTGGAAGCGAGCGTGCTGAGTCCAGGAAATGCTTGCCCCATTCTGCAGTGGGCTCCGCCCTAACTCAGTGATCAAGCCAAAACCTCGAGCTGGGTTGGAAAAGTGGTGATGCAGCCAACTTAGCTTCTCAAAGATGCCTTCTGGCATAGGACTGTTTTCAGCTGGTTATTTTGAAATGCTTTGTAAGAACAATTTACATCAATAAATGAAACTTCATTTCTTTTCTTTTGTTTTTGTTTTTGGAGACAGGGTCTCACTCTGTCACCCAGGCTGGAGTGCAGTGGTGTGATTGCAGATGACTGCAGCTTGAATTCTTGGAGTCAATCAATACTCCCACCTCAGCCTCCCAAGTAGCTCGGGCTACAGGTATGCAACACCACGCCTGGCTAATGTTTGTATTTTTTGTAGAGATGGGCTCTCACTATGTTGCCCAGGCTGGTCTCCAACTCCTGAACTCAAGTGATCTGCCTGCCTCAGCCTCTCAAAGTGCTGGGATTACAGGAGTGAGCCACCGCCCAGCTGAAACCTCCATTTAAAGGGCATCTCTGTCTTTGCATTGGGAAAAGAAGGGGAACGAAGTCACTAGAAACTCTTACACTGGAGGCAGTGTTGGCTTGACTCTCCATAGCAAGCCTTACCTTTGTTTAGGTGTTTTTCTGTCCACCTTATCTTAACTGGGCCTTTTGGTTTTTCAAGGATGAAGTACTTTATTACTCACAGCAATATCAGTAGCCAGAATGTTGGCATTTTTTTCTAACAGAGTATCAGCATACTTTTCACACCAGTTTCCGAGCCCCGTTTCCCAAACAGTGACACAGAGTGGGCCCAGTGGCATCTGCACACACCGTGGACTGCACTGCAGGAGAGGAACCCTGAGCTCAGGGAACGTGAATCTTTTATAATGGACAGTAAGCATGCCTGCTCTTTGCTTTGGAGGGAGAAAACGTCTTTACCTTCAGGATTAGGGTGTAAGCAACCTGCCCTTTGATCTGGAAGGACATATTATCAAGGCTGTCACAAAACAACACCCTTGGAAAGATGGTCTAGAACAATCAGTGCCTCTGTCCATGAGATGAGCAGGAATGTCAGAGACAGAGAGTTGGGTCCCAGCCTCATCCAGTCCTCATTGCAAATCGTCTTGGCCACTGACACGTTTTCTTGTGAGTGTGCCACTTGATATGGTTTGGAGGTTTTGTCTCCTCCAAATCTCATGTGAAAATGTGTTTCACAGTGTTGCAGGTGGGCCCCGGGGGGAGGTATTGGATCACGGGGTGGATGTCTCATGAATAGCCTAGAGCCATCTTCTTGGCAATGAGCACGTTCTCACTCAGTTCCCATGAGAGCTGGTTGTTTAAAGGAGCCTGGCTCCTCTGCCCACTCTGTCCCTTGCTCCTGTTCTTGCCATGGGATGTGCCTGCTTCCATGGCCACTTTCTGCAATGACTATCACTTCCCAAGGCTTCCCCAGAAGCAGACACTGGGGCCATGCTTGTGTAGCCTACAAAACCGTGAGCCAAATAAACCTCTTTTCTTTATAAATTACCCAACCCCAGGTATTTCTTTATAGCAGTGCAAACAGCCTAACACACCTGTCCATCAGCCACTCTCATTACTCCCACTGACAGAGGCGATCTTTCCTTCATGGACCTTCTTGCTGTTTGTTTTACTGTTTTGCACCAAGCACACATGGGTGTGTTTGTGACATCATCCCTCTGCCCCTGACCTCCCCATTTAAGCGTTTGTAATTAAATTGCACCCACCTGGATAAGCCAGAGTTACCTCTTTATTTTCATGTCAACTGAGTAGAAACCTTAATTAATTGGCAACATTAATACCCCCTTGCTATGGAATATGATGTATTCATGGGTTCTGGGGTTTAGGATTTGCACATCTTTTGGGGGCCATGATTCTGCCTTCTACATAGATCACATCAGACAAAAAGCATCAAAGCTGTTCAAGACTTGACAACGCAGTCACCAGCTATTAGATCCACATAGAGCGGGTGGCAGGCAGAGAATACACTTCTACTCAAGCAGACGTGGAAGACTTACAAAAAGAGACCATTGGATTAGGTCATAAAAGATGCCTCAGTAAACCCCAAAGGATCCGTGTCATGGAGATTATGAATTCGTACCATGATGCAAAACATTTGGAAATGAATATTCAAAGGATACCTGAGAGAATCTCATGTGTTTGGATATTTAATAACATTTTACTAGTAACCTTTGGGTAAGTAGAACTCTTGAGGGAATGAAAAACCTCTTTAGAATTGAATAATAATGATAATACCGTATGTCAAAAGTCACAGGACACAGTTAAGAGTACCTAGAAATATACAGTCATAAATACATTTTCAATAGGACGGGCGTGGGGGCTCACACTTGTAATCCCAGGTGACTACAGGAGGCCGAGGTGGAGGATCGCTTGAGCCTAGGAATTGCAGACCAACCCGGGCAACAAAGCAAGACCCTGCTTCTACAATAAATGAAAAAATAAATTAGCTGGGTGTGGTGGTGCACGCTTGTAGAGAGTAAAAGTTTTCCTCTTCAAATTTCCCCTTCTTGTTAAAGAATACATCATAAGTGTTAGAAATAATAGTTTCTTTTAAAGACTTTCTTCAATTCTCCTTGCTTTGTGCTAATAACTCTTTGTTAAGCCCTATCCCATGTAATTGTTGGACATGCTCACAGACACGTTCCAGCTCACAGCCTATGCCCCTTCCTTATTTGGAAATGTTATTGCTTCCTTAGACCTTTCCTAATTACCTATTTAGGAAAGTTTCAGGTTATTAGCAAATCAGGTATCAGTTTAAGACTGTGAGGCCCAGCTCCAGCCAATGGATGCAGGACACAACAGTAAGGACGACCCAAATGCTTAAGGGTTAATTATGTCTGCCTTTCCTTTGCTTAGGTGACCTCTCGCGATCATTCCATCTGTGACTGAGCACCCTTTCTGCAGAAAGTAAAGATGGCCTTGCTGAGAGATCTTTTGTGTCTGTGCTGACTTTTCTTCGCGGCACCGATTATCTATTTCGAACAATTTTGGTATTTCTAACAGCACTTGTAGTCCCAGCTACTTAAGAGGCTGAGGTGGGAGGGTTGCTTGAGTCTAGGAGTTTGAGGCTTCAGTGAGCTATGACAGCACCACTGCACTCCAGCCTGGGGAACAGAGCAAGACCTTCTTTCAAAAAAAAAAAAAAAAGAAAAAAGAAAAGAAATAGAACTAATCATACAAATGAAATAATTGGAAAAAACAGCAATGTAACAAAATGATCCCAAAGTAATAAGAAAAAGGGAAATGACAAAGATACTGGCAGAAATCAATGAAATAGAGAAAAATAAAATAATATGAGTAGCAAAAACCAAGGATCATACTTTGAAAAGATATATTGATTTTGACAATATTGAGCAAAAAAAGAGGAAAATATAAATAAAAATAGAGACTGAAAATACAGAAATAACTGCAGACAGAGGGATCAAAGAAATCACAAGAACGTTATGAGCAGCTGCATTCAGAAAGTTTGAATTCCCAGATCGTTTCAAGAAAAAACAAAATGCCAGAGCTGACCCCGGAAGAGGCCAGCGCGCGCCTGCCCCAGGCTTCCCAGGTAGACTCTGCCAAACTCAAGGAACTGCTCAAGCTTAACTTAGACAAACTGGCTCAAGCCAGAACTTAGAGAAGGGGCAAAAGGCTGGTATAAGCCAATTCCAAAACCAGCTAAAGATAATCCGAGCTTTTGCCTGCTCAGCTGCTGGGTGCTGTTCCCAGACCAAACCGAGGGTGGGGCTGCTTGTTCTCTCGGCCCAGTAACGAGACGCAGATGAACTGGGAGAGGAGTGAGTTAACCGGTTACAGGGAGAAGGCCTGGAAATTATCGCCAGACCAACGTTTTCCAGAGCTTGTGTGCCTTCTAAGCTCTGTGTCTGCGTGTAAGTGTGCACTCATCCAAAGACATAAGTGATGAACTTCTCATCTATCACTAAGGCCTGAGTCCTGAAGACCTTCCTCTGGAGCCTCAGTGGATTTACTGAATCTAACTGGGTCCAGGTGCTGGGGTGATCACCCTTATCTTGCCCTCTGCTAAATCACGGAGGTTGAGGGAGCTCCTTTAGTTTCCAAGGAAGCTTGTTTGTGGAGGTCTGGGGAGTTTCTTCAGACCCCAGTAAAACTTGTTTAATCCTAAACAGGTCCTGTTAAGAATTCCTTCATTATCTTGTCATGCTTCAAGGCCCTGGAGAGGCCTGGGCAAAACTCTCAGGGGACGTCTTTTACAGTCCAGCCTTTGCATAAGGGCGCTGGCTCTATCAGCTTTTAATATTTATCCTCATCCCTCAGTCGGTGTGGAAACAGTTGTTCCCGGGGGCCTGCGTGAGTGAGACCTGGCCTGCCTCGGTACCATTCCCGGTGCGCTTGGCACAAAACAATGAAACAAATAGCAGGCCCGTGAAGGGAAATATCCTAAATAAAATATTAGCTTGCCAAACCCAACAGCGTATGCTTTTAAAACCACACGTGATCAAGCAACGCTTGTCTGTGAATGTGACGCACATGCATTGGGAGGTCTGTCGTGTAGCCCACCATAGTCACAGGCTAAACGGAGAAAAACATCTCGGCCAATGCAGAAAGCACATCCCACAAGGTTCAATACCCATTAGTGATACAAACTCTTAGCAAAGTAAGGACAGAGGGAAAGTTGCCTAATTTCAAGTTTTATTACTGGATGTCCTGGCTGTGGGATATGGCGAGGTTTCTCTTCAAATAGCCTGATCAATCTTTTAATTCAGAGTACCCCTCACACGGTTTTTTCCTTTTTCCTTTCTGCCTTTGTTAGATGCCCAGGCATGCCACAGTACCAGGCATTATCAGTACCAGCTCACATTCCTGTCCTTATTTGGAAAGAGGACTAACTTTCTAGCTCACTACAGACACCCCTTCCCCTTTCCTCTCTTTTACGTGCTCACCTTATCTAAAAAAATTCAAATGTTCAGCCAACCGGGATTAGATTGTACAACCCGACCCCGGCCGATGGGGAAAGGGCACGGGGGCAGGGGCAGGACTTGTGGCAGGAAGAAAGGCTCTCGTGCCCCTTTGTTCAGATGTACTCTCATGGCGACTGGCCAAGGAGGCACCCCTCTGCGCAGAAGTAAAACTGCTTTGCTAAGAATCCTTTGAGTGTTCAATTTCCTTAGGATTTTGAGCGTTATTCCTACCACGGCTAAGTGTAGAAAGAGAAAGAAAGAAATGCAAAGATTGGAAGGGAAGAGAGACGGCTGTCATCTGCAGGTGACATAATCCAGCCACAGAAACCATCAGAATCACCAGCCAAAGACAATTTAGCAAACTTGCCAGATACAAGATGAAATTAAAAATCAATAGCTTGGGATTCAGCCCGGAGATGTGTCGAGCTGGAAGGAACAGTACAGTAACAAGAGAAAACTCGAGATGGAGCAGGGCCCCAAACACAGAAGTCGAGGGAAATCTTGAGTCCCTTCGGGGGAAATTCCAGGCACGTCGCTGGCTTTAAAAAACACCATGGAATACTACGCAGCCATAAAAAATGATGAGTTCA
This sequence comes from Homo sapiens, assembly GCF_000001405.40. NCBI lineage: Eukaryota > Metazoa > Chordata > Mammalia > Primates > Hominidae > Homo > Homo sapiens. Next base: position 45,952,670 of record NC_000021.9, on the reverse strand, counting down.
TGTCCTTTGTAGGGACATGGATGAAGCTGGAAACCATCATTCTCAGCAAACTATCGCAAGGACAAAAAACCAAACACAGCATGTTCTCACTCATAGGTGGGAATTGAACAGTGATGGACACAGGAAGGGGAACATCACACACCGGGGCCTGTTGTGGGGTGGGGGGAGGGGGGAGGGATAGCATTAGGAGATATACCTAGTGCTAAATGACGAGTTAATGGGTGCAGCGCACCAACACGGCACATGTATACATAGGTAACAAAACTGCACGTTGTGCACATGTGCCCTAGAACTTAAAGTATAATGATAATAAAATTAAAAAAAAAGTCAGTGAGCAACGTGACAAGCAAGAAGGTCAGAACAGCTTAAAGCAACAGCCAAGGAGGTGAGAGACCGAATGCTCGGCTCCCCAGAGAAACAAAAGATCCCGTCACTCACAGACATCGGGTGGGGTGGGGGTGCTGAGGACTGAACTGGGACCACCATTCTCTGTCCTCAGTTTCCTCCGGAGGGGCCTGGAGGAAGTCACGCCCATGGGCCAGAGCTAACATTCCTTTCTGATGGCCCCGGGTTTTCAGGTAAAGTTTCCTTCCCTTCCTTAACCAATGACGAATCAGAGAATATGACCTGTAGCCCCCGGCTTCGAGACGTCCCACCCTTTAGGGGAAGCCAATGGGCAGCCCCAGGTATTGATCTCTGGCTTTGCCCGTGACCTCTGCCTCCTGCTTTTAGTAACCCTGAGCCGGAAGCCGTCAGAGAGTGCCAGTCTTAAGCACGGGTTGCCCGGTTCTCCTTGCCTGGTGCCCTGCACTGAACGCCTCGCTTTCTCTCGCTGCAAATCCCCATGTCGGGGCTGGGTTTTCTGTGCTGGGCAGGCTGACCCCAGTTCCATTCAGTAACAAGCTGTGCAAACTGCAGATTAACAACTTTTCTTGAGCCCATCAGAGAACCGAGGTCACAGGACAAATCTCTAGCCCGAAATCCAGAGACAGACAGCTGCAGGGTCCTGGCATTTTCTTACCTGAAACCCAGAGACAGGCACCTGCAGGGTCCTGGCATTTTCTTACCTGAAGGCCACAACGGAGGGCAAGATGGTTGAATTGGAAATTTTATAACAAACTGCTGAAGGCTGTGAGCTTCAGGGAAGTGTGGAGTCCCTGGGAGCCGCAGACAGAGGGAAGTTCCATCTTTTTGCAGACTCCGCCTCCAGGAACCCCGCTAGGTGCCCATGGGGAAGACAGGGTGAACTCCAAGAGAGGTTTAGCCCCTGGTGCTGCCTGGGGAGGGACGCCCAGACCACCTCCCACCTCTGGAGGGAGCCTTAATCTTCAGGATGCTGTGAAGGGCGGTTAGAGGGGATGGAGAGAAAGCAGCTCTGCCCCCGGGGCAGGTGTGTTCAGGCCCAGGCTACACCTCGGGGAGGGCCCGGTTACTTCTAGAAGCTGAGTCAGGGGCTGGGTATTTTCTGTTTCTTGACGAAGAAACATAATTGTGTGTCTTACAATTATGCATTATATCAGGTATTTAGGTTCTCTGTACTTTTGTGTATCTTTGTCATCTTTTATGGTAAGAATTTAAGTGAGTTATTCAATATGGAAACAGAGTAAGAATATAATTAACAAAGATTGTGAAGGAGGGGCAGGCATGGTGGGAAGTGGAGAGCTAACTCCTCATCTGTCCTGGCAGGAAACAGCAGGAGAGGTGGGATCAGACCCAACAACAGCTGCGAGCTTTTCTGTACTGAGGCGTCTCCTCCCCCAGCCGCCCTCCCTTGAGGAGGAGCCACAGCACCCTGGAGGAGGCAGAGCCGGAGGCGGCCGCTGCGGGAGGCTGCCACGGGGCAGTGCCAACAGGGCTGGAGGGAGGGAGGCGGGCAGGAGGGGTGTGTGTACGAGGCCAGGCCTGGGGCAGTCTCCGCCCCGAGGACAGGTTTCACTCAGGAGGTAATGGTAATTGTGCTTTGTAAAAGGCCACTCTGGAGAAGGAGGGTGGCTGTGTTGTGGTGGAGAAGGTGGGTGCATGGCTGCTCTGGACACAGCATGGGACCCTCGAAAGGGCTCGAACCCTCCTGGGGGTTGGAACAGGGCCAGGGGCTTTTGGACAAGCCCTGCCTGTTGTCCTGGGCAAGGTCCCCAACCCAGTGCCCTGGTGCACCCTTCACTTGCTGGTGCCCCCAAGGCCACCCCGCCCCGGAGTCACAGGTCACAGTTTCCGCAGGACACGCAGGGGTGAGGTGGCACCTGACGGCCTCAGGGACCCACAGGAGGCATCTCATAAAGGCACGTAGTCCAGGTCTTCCTCGTAATCCTTAGACGTGAAAGCTCGGGGGGAATCCGGCACTCCGGGCACTCGCTGCCATTCCCAGGTGGGTGCGTCACCGCCGCCCACTCACAGCATGGTAGATGCTGGCGGTGGTTGCACCCCGGCCCGTCAGGCCCAGGCTGGGAGCATGGCCCTGTGCCCACCTGTGGGTCAGTGCCCGTGCAGAGGCACCTGGAAGTGTCCTTGCCAAAAAGAGAACGGAATCGACAAAGCTTCTGTGACCACCTCCCACCTGTGGGAATTCCGGGGGCCAAGGAGTGAGGTCGGCGTCATGCCAGGAGGCGCGGGGGTGGACGCCTGGGCTCCTCAACAAGCATCATGTGACGACACAGGGCACCGGGAGGGGCTGGTGCATGACGGTCGGAGGGGCAGACGGGTCTGCTCAGGGGTGGTGCTGCCTTCGGGAATCCTCACAGCCAGGCGCTGCTTTTTCTTTTTTTTTGAGACAGGGTCTCTGTCGCCCGGGCTGGAGTGCAGTGGCGCGATCTTGGCTCACTGCAGCCTCAACCTCCTGGGCTCAAGCGATCCTCCCACCTCCTCAGCCTCGAGAGCAGCTGGGACTACTGGCATGCGCCACCACGCCCAGCTAATTTTTGTATTTTTAGTAGAGACGGGGTTTTGCCACGTCGGCCAGGCTGGTCTCCAATTCCTGGGCTCAAGGGATCCGCCCACCTTGGCCTCCCAAAGTGCTGGGATGACAGGCATGAGCCACCGCGCCCGGCCCAGATGCTTCTGCTGGAACATTTGCTTTTCTCAAAATGTCCTAGAGTGTGTTTTTTATTACTGTGTAGCTCTGCACTTAATAGAGGTATATCCAACTTCTCCAAATTAGAAGACAATCCCCATGGGAGGTAAAGAGAAGTTATTCTCTGGGTGACGCTGAACGAAGCCGACAAAGCAGCCGGCACTTGGCATGAAGTGGGCGAAGTGCACACGCCCACGTGGGGTGTGTTTCAGGTCTCGCCACAGCCACACGTCCTTTCATCAACCAACAAACCTCTTCTTAATCCTTTTAGCATGACGTTTTTTACTCCTGTCAAAGTAGTTTTTATATATTTTTATAGCGTTGTGCGTTCGAGGATTGAAAGTGGAAATTGTTATTTGACGTATTTCATGGTGCAGGAAAACTCATCATGAACCTTTACCTCAGAGAAACATGAGATCATCCCAGGTAAGCCACGGAGCTTGTCCTGGGCTCCTGACAAGCATCAGCCCAACGGCCAACACCAAGTGCGGCTCCCAGCACGTCCAGGCCGTGCCTGCGGCGACCGGCTCCTCCCTCCCTGTCCTCCGGAGGCGGTGAGTCTCCACGCTGCCTCGTCTCCTCATCCTAGAGTCCAGGTGCTCTTCCAAAGCAGGATGGACGGGGGCCCGGGCAGGGCTGAGAACTGTGCTTCCCGACCTCCCGGTGGAGTCTGCCTTTCCCCAGGTCTCCCGCTGTGCTCTTCTGTGGTTCCGGGGTTGACTGAGGACATGAGATCATCAACATCCACGGGAAGCTGGTGGCGACCTCAGGGAGCTGCTCTCTGTCGAGCTGTTGACGTGCTGGGCTTTTTCCCAACTACCCTTGGTCTTATCAGTAGAAACACCTAAAAATGCAGCCCCGCCCCCGTCAACCTGAAATCCACCCATGCAACTCCGGGTAAGAGGAGCCCCTCCCCCAGGCCTCCTTCCTCCACCTTCCCCGAGTCCGTCAACACACCGCACAGCCTGCATCACTGGCCTTAGCCACGTGGAGGCAAATATTGGTCCCCGGAGAGGGCCTCCCTCCCTCCCTCAGATCCTCAGAGTTGGAGGTGAACTCCCATGGCTGAGCTGCAGGGTGCCTTGGATTTCCATGAGTCCAAACCCTGAGCAATTCTGAGGCCGGCCAGTCCCGCGACGTTATCCTCTGTTTTATAAAACTGCCGGCACTGGTGCTAAGTGATGTCCACCAGGAACAAGAGGTGACCACTGACTGGATGTCGCCACAGTTCCTGAGAACAGTTTATTCGTCTACTAAGTATTAGAATATCTATTACATTAATTTTAAAAAATGAAAGCTCCTGCCTCGTGAGATTTTTACATCAACCATGAGATTCTTTGAAAGCCTTCGAGTTCATGGGCCAGCACTTCTGTGACGGCGTTTACTTAGACAAACATTCCCACCAAGTACAATTTCAAAAGCTGAATTTTAAAAAATCTGTTGTGGTGCTTGAGGGCTTCTGCAGCAGCCTCAGGAGAGGGGCTAGGGTCCTGGAGAGAGGAGAGGCCCGTGAGGTGCGGCGGCGGACCCGGAGTACCATGTACCACTGGCTCGCTCAGCCAGGCATCTGCAGCTCGTGAACCTCATGCAACAGAAGGCTACGAAGACCAGCAGAAAACTGCTCAAAGCTGGACAGAGCTCTGGTCTAATGGTGCTGGGCAGACGACAAGTCAAGTTCAAAACCCACCCAGGAGGAAGGACCAGTGGACACCCAGAGGCAGCCCTGGGCACTGTGCCCTAAGCGGGGGTGACTTGGGAGCAGAGTAAGCCTCATGGAGTCCTACCCAACTTCAGTGAGATGAAGTTGATCCATCCCAATGCGAGCCAGCGGGTTGGACAAAGAGTCTCCGGAGGAAGATGGATCATCCAGAGCCCAACCTCTGTTCAGGAGATAGGCAAAGAGCGGCCTTGCCGGCTTTAGGATATGCGGGTCGTGGAGGAGAATGAAGTTCAAACGGTTCAGCACGAAAGCCGGTTGGTGGGAAGTTCCCTCAGTCCTCAGCCATGTGCCTCTGTCAGCAAGCAATGGAATTCCCACTGTGGCCACAGGAGAACCCTCTCCCCGGGGAATGGGCCGGTAGTGCTGAGCACACCATCACACAGGCAGTGGGTGGGGAGGGCCACACCTGCAGCTCCACGGAGCAGACACACCCTGCTGGGACCACGGGCTCAGTACAGCTCGGTACACCTGCTGCGTCTGCTGTGTCTTGTCCTCATACACAGTGGCAGTTCCGGATGAAATGGCGGCAAATCTGCACTCATGCACGGCACGCCAAATGGCATGAAGAGACAAATATCAATACTCCAGTGACAAAGCTCCCTCCCCACATCCCTACATATGTGAATACAGTGGTATGTAACTGGAGTACTATTAGGCAGTTGGAGTTTAAAACCCCATCTGAGCACAGGCATGGTGGCTCACGCCTGTAATCCCAGCACTTTGGGAAGCCGAGGCAGGTGGATCACGAGGTCAGGAGTTCAAGACCAGCCTTGCCAACGTGGTAAAACCCCGTCTCTACTAAAAATACAAAAATTAGACAGCCGTGGTGGCGGGCACCTGTAATCCCAGCTACTCAGGAGGCTGAGGCAGGAGAATTGCTTGAACCCGGGAGGCGGAGGTTGCAGCAAACTGAGGTCATGCCACTGCACTCCAGCCTGGGCAACAGGAGCAAAACTCCATCTCAAACAAACAAACAAACAAACAACAACAAAAAACCCATCTGAATTGCTCTTACATATGGATTTACACACACACACACATAATATATAGTAGCATCTATGTTTCAGAATTATTCCTCATGCCATGATTCAGACTCGATGAGCAGGAAGGAATTGACTGGAGGCTAAATGTACGAAGCAAAATCAGGGGGCGTTAAAAACGTTAAAAACAGAGCAAAACACAGCAAAACTCTGCTGCCGACACTGGACGCCGGAAGCTCCAGGGTCACGACCACAACAATACAGAGAAGAATCATTTGTGATTGGCAGTTGTTACCAAGAAAATACGGATAATTATAATGACAGCAAAGAAGGAAAAGAAAATGATGAGACGAAAGAAGACTTGGATTCTGGAAACCAAAGGACGGAAAGAAGATACAGTTAAAACAGCAAGAGAAGCTCCGCTGTGCCATCCAAGGGCCGCCTGGATGAATTCGACTTTGTAAGGACAGCGTCTTTTCCTGTGGCCCGTGACAGGGAGCTGTTGGCGAGGCAGCTTGATTTTACAAAATCATGGTCCCAGTAAGATTTTCAGAGATGTCAACAATGGACAGTGCAATGCTTCTCAAACAGAACGTTCGGAAAAACTTGCAAATGGTCAAATTTTCACAAGACCCAAACTGCCTATTCTAGGACGAATGCCGGCTCATTGTTCACTGTGAAAATGGCGTTCAACACCAGAGACTTTCTCGTGCCAAGCAGGCTCTCAGATGGACAGCCCCATGCCAGGGGGATGTGTTGATCCGAGGTCACACGGGCCAAGGAGCCTCTGGGGACAGGCCCAGCCTGCTGGGGATGCCTGCCACCCCAGGAGCACCCATTGACCTCAACCCGCCCACGAGCTTACAGAAGGCAGAAGCAGGAGGGAGTGCCAGTGACGTGTCTGGCCACTGCCTTACTTTTGCAGCCGTGTATCAAATGACCGAAGGCATAGAAGCCGAAGCGGCACCCAGGTATTAACTCACGGTTCCTGGGTCAGGAGTCGGCTCAGCTCAGCTGGCTTCTGTTCTTCAGGGTCTCCCAGGCTGCCATCGGGGAGCCGGTGGTCACATTCCCGTGCAGAGGCTGGACTGGGGCAGAACCCACTTCTGGGCCCACCCAGGTTGTTGGCAGAATTCATTTCCTTGCAGCTGCAGGAGTGAGCGCTTCAGGTGTTGGCTGGTTGTCAGCTGGGGCTCCCAAGCTCGCTCGGAGAGGTGCCTGCAGTCCACCTCCAGAGGCAGAGAGTCGCCGCGGCCATTCTAGGGCAGCCCCAAAATGGCTGCTTGCTTCACCAGTGCCAGCAGGGGAGCTGGAGCCTTACGCAGTGCCAGGGAGTGACATCCTGGCCCCTTGCCACATCCTACAGGTCAGAAGCAACTCATAGACCCCTCCCACAGCCCCAGGGAGGGGGTCTTCCAACGCTGAGGTGGGGGTCCCTGGGCCTCTGTGGGGTCTGTCCACCATGGTCACAAGCTATTGCCTGTGTAGCCTTGCATGCAGGCCACTGAAAATTCATGTTGAAACGTAATCCCCAACGCAGCAGTAGTAAGAGGTGGGCCTTCTGTGAGGTGATGAGGTGGCCAATGCTCTTCCACAGGAGGCTGAAGGGAGCCCTCCGGCCTGCTCCGCGAGGATGCAGAGGACGCAGTATTCCTCCGCTCGAGGTCACGGTAACAAGGCACCCTTGGAAGCAGAGAGCAGCCCTCACCAGACACAGAACCCAGCGCCTCCATCTCGGACATCCTTGCCTCCGGAATTGTGAGCAACCCATTTCTGTTGTCTGTTCATTTCCCAGTCTCAGCAACTGAGGGACTCAGATGTCGCCCTTCTGACAAAGCCCTGGGTACATGTGCTGCTTAATGAGAATGTCCAATTATTTTCCAATTACTGTGAGCATCTACCTTACGCCACTGGAGTCAGCCAATTCCTGCCCCTTTCCTGACAGTCACAGACACCCCACTGTCCTTGAGGAAGCAAGGGGCATAGATCCTGCTGTGTCCACGGGACACCGAGGTGCGGGGATGTCTGGCGACCTGGGGACACTCGCTGTAAGTGACAGGGTGTGACCCTGTGGCCCTGGGCCAGGTGCCAGTGCCCAGGCTAGATGGAGACTCGGCCATAGGCTTCCAGAAGCTAACAGCCACATTTCCCACGCCCATGATGCGCGCCCACCGGGGCTGGGGTGCCCCAGTGTCCCTTGTTCTAAGCTTGCACGTTTCCTCAGCCCGAGGCCTTGACCATGTGGTTGTGGGTGGAACTGGGACTCACACTGTGGGGAAGGGGCACTGGGAGCTGGGTCGCTGCAGGTGTAAGAAGGCGCAGGATGGGAACCGCTGATCTGCAGGGCTGTGAGGCTCATGCTCACTTGATTCCTTAGAACTGAGAATTGCCACTTTGCGCGCCTCCCATCACAGGAGAGTCCAGGGCCTCCTGTGAGGCCCACACAGGTGCTCAATCAATGCTCATGGCACTGCCCTGTGAGCTGCCCTGAGTCACAGGATGCCTCCAGCTCTGGTTTGGAGCCTGGTCCCTGGCTCTGAGTCCCCACTCAGGCCCCCTCACGCCCAGCTGGGGCTCTGGATTCTGCTGTGCCTCTGTCCTCCCGAGTCCTGAGGGGCTGAGAGTTCTGCACAACCCCCACCCTGCTACTCCAGCTCCCCCGTCTCCCCTCCTCACCTGCTCTGGGCTCCCTTCCACCCCAGCTCTGGCTGCCCCTGCACCTGATGTGCTCCCCACATCTAGTATGCTCCCCCCACCTGAAGTGTTCCTCACCTGGAGTGCTCCCCCCACCTGAAGTGTTCCTCACCTGGGGTGCTCCCCCCACCTGAAGTGTTCCTCATCTGGAGTGCTCCCCGCACCTGAGGTGTTCCTCACCTGGAGTGCTCCCCCCACCTGAAGTGTTCCTCACCTGGAGTGCTCCCCCCACCTGAAGTGTTCCTCACCTGGAGTGCTCCCCCCACCTGAAGTGTTCATCTGGAGTGCTCCCCCCACCTGAAGTGTTCATCTGGAGTGCTCCCCCCACCTGAAGTGTTCCGCATCTGGAGTGCTCCCCCACCTGGAGTGCTCCCCACCTCCACCTGGAGTTTTTGCCCCACCTGGAGTGCTCCCTCTACCCAGAGTGCTCCCTCTACCTGCAGTGCCCCCCACCACCAGGAGTGCTCCATTGCCTGCTGTTCTTCCTCCAGGTGAGTGAGCAACTAACCGCTTACCTTCTTAGGTCTTGCCCAGCCTGCACTTTCTAGGGATCCTTCCATGATCATCCCATTTTGATTCCTCTCTTCTCGTGGTGTCTCATTTCCACGGCGTCTGTCATTGTCAGTTGTACCCACGCTGTTGACTGACCATCTCCACTGACACGGGTGCTGAGGAAGGCCTGTGTCTTCCGCATCCTGGTGTCTGGGCCCCACCGGCGGGAACCCCAGTCCTAAGGTGCCAGCATGTGTGCCCACGTGCCACACTGGGCTCACTCCTGTGAGCCTCCTCCCAGGGGCAGAGGGTGGGCAAGGAGTGTGTCCAGGAGGCTGAGTCGGGGCCCTCCAGGCCGGCACACGGGCCAGGTGGCTGAGGCAGGCCAGGTGGAGTCTGGGAAACAGGCCGGCTTCTGCCTGATCAGGCAGGAAGGGGCTCCTGTGAGCGGGTGCCTTGTGGCTGGCTAGGAGCCTGGGGCAGGCTGTCCTGGGCCCCTGGAGGCTCCCCAGGTTCTGGCCAGACTCCCATCCTCCTGGAACTGCTGACTCTTGACAGACACCTCCAGTGAGGGGTCAGTGAGCCATGTCTGTCCACACATCCCAGGCCCACCACCTTCTAGAAGATCCCGTGAACACCAGGATCCAGGTGTGGAGGTGGTGCCCTGAGCCTGCAGAGCTGGGACAGGAGCCCCCGAGTCCTGCCCTCCCCGGTGCCTGGCTCCCCATCCATCCCGGGTCTTGTCCTTCCTGATAAATCACCTGGGGGCTCCCCCCATTCCCTGGGCCTGGGTTAGGGATTAATCACCTGAGGGGAGGGCCTGAGTCACACCCAGGGCTTCAGGATTGAGCAGGGGCAGAGCCAGGCTTCTTAAGGTGAGCACAGGCTGCCAAGTGAGCCACGTGGACTGTCCCCAAGCAGGTGTGAGGCGGATAGGCTCCACCTGTGGAAGCACTGGGGGTCACCGGGCATGGCCTCTGGTACCCATAACGGCTATAAGGGAGTAAGTCTCACAAATTAGGAACTGGCATTTTGGTGCCCGGGCAGGAATGGTGTTTCTGTGTTTGTCATTTTAAGTAGTTTTGCCAAAGTACAAATAGAAGTGCTTATGTGTGTTGTGGAAAGGGGGAATGAAATGGTATCTGTGTGTGAGAAGAAACCCAGGCTTCTCGATAAGCATTGGGCTCAGGGCAATGTCTCCCCAGGGGAAGGAAGTGCCGGGGCCTGGGTGCATTGGGGGGCGCAGAGACAAGCCAGAGCCGGTGAGGAGGGGCCACGACATTTATTGAACTCTGAGGAGCACAGAGGGGGCTCCCTGGCGCGTCTGTGCTCTCCAGCCACCCTGGAAGACGCTCAGGGGACCCCAAGAGCCTTCCCAGCACGCGGCATCTCTGTGAAGGCAGGGCCCCCAGCAGGCTCCGCCCTCCACCCCACTCCTGGGGTCAGAGCCCCAACATCCTCCATGACCCTCCTCTCCTGGCGCTCCCCATGGGTGGCAGGAGAGCCACCCCCCGATTCCAGCACACAACCTGGGGCAGAAACTCGAGCCCAGACAACAATGGCTCTGAGGGGAAACCGAGTCAGCATGGCAGGGCTGTGTGAGAGAGGAGGGGTCTCAGGCAACAGTTCTGGACGGTTCTGGATGGCAGAGGAGAAGGGCGGACAGGAAGTGCTGTCGGAACGCCGACCCAGCTCCTAAGACAGACAGCTACGCTGACACCAAGGAACAATATTTCTAAAATAATTACCACTGCATGCCGGTGCATGGGCAGACGGGAGCGTAAGTCATAAATAAAATAACACTGAGGGGGGACTCGGCGGAGCCTGCAGCCTCTGTAGAGAGCAGCTGTGTGCGCGGGTGTGTTTCTCCATGGCATACGTCCTTTTGTTAATTAAGAAAACCTCTCTATTGGTATCTGTGAGGCAGGGAAGGTGGGCTGTACAGAGTGCGAGAGCCGGGGGCCTTAGGCTCTGGCAGGTGGGTGACGCGGGGGAAGGGTGCTGGGTAGGATTACAGCGTGCCCATCCCGGTGACCTCGGACGTCAGCCTGGAACAGACAAAGGCAGGAGAGGGAGAGACGGTCACAACCAACGCCCTCATCAGTGGGCAGACGTGAGGCCGGGCTGTGTGGCCTCTGTGCTCGCTGGGACAGGCCATCCCGGTCAGCTCAGGAGGTCCTGAGCTGGAGACCACAGCAGAGCACACAGGCCTCTTCCCCGCCCTGGTCCCCGCCATGCCCATCACCACGTCAGGTGTGTGAGCCAGCCCTGCATGGGGGCTTGAGGCCTTCCCCATGTGGAGCCCCCTACACAGCCCTGGGTCGGCCCCTGGGGGTGCTCAGGGCCTTCCCAGCCTCACACCTGGCATCTGAGAAGGGGCTTTGGTTGCCACAGGAGTAAGTGTATGTGGGTAAGAGCCATCTGGCCCCAAGCACGGGTCCCAGTGGGGCTGTCAGTAATGCGGTCTGGCAGGCGGGAACCTCCCTGACAAGCCCCATCCCCAGGCTCGCCCTGGGTTTGCCAATGCTGCACTTTGCCCAGCCTCCTGCCCATGGGCCTGTGGCACAGGGATGGAAAGAGGCCCAACCTGGCTCTGGATCGAGGCAGAAGCCCAGCGGGGCATCAGTGGGTAAAGTCGGGGGGTGTCCTCGTCCTCTCCAGGCAGCCTCTCACCCACTCACTGGGCGTGCAGGTAAGAGAAGGGTCACCGGGACAGGGGTTCCAGGGCCCACGCAGGGCTGTGTCCACCTAGAGGCCCCTCCCTTCTCCTCCCCTCCAGTCCCATCCCGTCCCGTCCCATCCCACAAGCCCAGCTCAGGGCTCTTGCAGTAGGACATCCTTGGGGAGAGAGGACGGATGTTCCTTACATCAGAGGCCGGCGGGGCTGGTGGTACAGCGTGCCTGGCTGGGGGGCTGGTGGTACAGTGTGCCTGGCGGGGCTGGTGGTACGGCATGCCTGGCGGGGGGACTGGTGGTATGGTGTGCTTGGCGGGGGTGGGGCACTGGCTTGAGGCCGAGTGGGGTGCAGTCACAGGGACCCAGGTGGCTTCAGACCCTCCCATGTGCACAGGGACCCATGGAAGGAAGCGGCCTGCAGAGTCCTGTCCTGCCCGTCCCTACACGTTTCCATGAGAATGAAAAAGGAGGCAAAACAGCAAAGTCCCCAAACATTGGTCTTTCTGGAGACCTCTGAGCGGACAAGAGTCAGGCCTTCCAGGATAGTTCTGGCCACCTGTCTGAGGCCACAGGAGCACCTGCCTTCCTCTCTAGCCTCCGGGATTGTCCCTGGAGACGCTTCGGGTGGGAGGTCGGGAGAGTGAGGTGGCCCCGTGTCTACATGGAGGCTGTCACCATCCCATCCTGTCCCCACCATCCAGCCTGGAGCAGAGGGGACAGAAGGGGAGGCAGAGTGTGGCCCAGACTGTGCCTCCTCCCACCCCCCGACCGTCCAGGTGATGTAACGCCGGCTGGCGCGTCCCTTTCCGGGCGTCTCTCAGAGACCCTTGGGAGATGCTCACCTGGCGTTGATGAGATACTGGGCAAGGCTGATGTTGGCCGGGGTCCCCGTGATGGTGATCTGACGCTCTGAGGACCCTTCCGTGGCGTTGGCGATTTTGATCTGAGCTCCAGACATCTGTCGAATTTCATTGATTTTGGTCCCTTGGCGTCCAATTATGCAGCCTATTAGCTAGAAACAAGGACGGGGGGATTTCTTAGAGAACAGCCCAAGCCAGCCCCTGAAGACTGTGGGCAGTGCGCCCGAGGGGGCCGGTGGGACGGGCCGCCAGCCTTGGACTCTGCCCCAAGACCTGAGCTCAACACCCCGGAGAGGCCCCGCCCACACCTGCCTGCAGGTGGTGCCTGATCCAGGCCACCTGCCCGAGGTCAGGCTGAGAGCACCTGTGCCTCTGCTGGCCCCTCTCAGACCCGCCCTGCTACCCACTCCTGTAGGAGGCCCACCCAGCCAAGAGGCACAGTCACTCGGCCTGGGTGCTCCACACTGGTCACCCCGGGGTCCAGGAGCGACCCACAGGTGGCAGCCAGCAGCTGAGCAGGGAGGCTCCACCATGGCCCAGCGGTGTCTGCACCTTCTTGGCCACATCCCAGGGAGACCCCTTCTGCCCAGACAGGCAGCATCACAAATGCTCAAGAAGAAACGTGTGCTTGAAGCCACAGCAAAGCTCACTGCTGCCTAAAACTTAGCTTTTGCTGAACTTAGATTAAACTCTGAGGCCATTCGGGTGCCTCCTTTCATTCCCCTGTTGGGACCCCTGTTTAAAGATGGAACACAGTGGCCTCTGGCCAAGGCAGTCATCAAGAATGAGGGTGCTCCTTGAAGCAGCTGAGGGAGGAGGGCGGGGCCTATGGGGCAGCCATGAGGGGCGTCGGGGACAACTCGGGCCCCCAGAGAAGACTGCACAGGAGCCAATGGCATCTCTCAATGCCCACCATTGGATGGAACGGAGTCCCTTCATGCACGCATAGGCCACGGATGAGAGCTCTGGAGCTTGGACAGGAAAGAGACGTGGCCAGACCTGTGGCAGAGAAAGCCCCAGACTGGAGGGTGCCCGGCACAGGGCACCAGGAGGGCAGCTGGGCACATGGGTCCCCGAGGGCCCTGAGGCAGAGTCCACTCCCACCTCCCGTGAGGCTGCTGGGGTGTCAGAACGGTGGTGAAATTGAGTGACAGGAGCAGGTTTCTGTCCTTACACCAGTAAGACGCTGGATGGAAGGGCTGGGCTGGGCCATGTGGCGGCATGCAGGAGGGACGTCCACTTGCAAGCGTGAAGGGGCTCAGTCTGTGGGGTGAGCAGCAGCTCCATGGTGGGACACAGGTGCCCTGCCAGCCAGCCCTTGTCCCTGAGGAGACCTATGGTGTCTCAACTCTGCTCACCTTAGAGGCCATCTCTGCTGGTTACAAGGAAATGACAGCTGTCTCACTGGACTACAGAACCCTCAGTCTTTGTAGATATCCACAGAGACCCCCACTCTGGAGAATCCAGGGCTGCTGGGAGTCTTCTATCTCCTGCTGCATCTCTGGGCTCCCCCACACCTCTCAGACCCCACCCACATCTCCCAGACCCCACCCACATCTCCCAAGGCCCCACCCGCAGTCCAGCCCTCTCCCTGCTCACACCTGTGTGTGGTGTTGAGTGTGCCACTGGGGTTAGGAGGGTGGTTTCCTAATTGGCACATGGCCACATTCACCTGCCTGGCTGCATCTTCCTCCCTGGTGGCAGAGAGATCTGAAGGGCTCATCTCTGATGGGGGCCAGGGACAGCAGCACGGCCCGCATGGGGAGGGGGAACATAGCTGACTCGGCAGCATGACCACAGGTCCCTGTAAGATGCCAACATCCAGGAGGGAGAGCAGCTCCTGGGCTTTCGCACTGCCCCACTTCCTATACCCCTCCTTGGCCAGCACGCAGCCGCTTTCCTCCCTAACACTTTCTGCGCTGGAGCGCGTGGTGTCTGCTGAAGCGCACAGCACGGAAAGCCTTGTGCACATGTGCTGTTGGATCTCTCCTCGGAGCCTGCTGGAGGAAGTATCTCCCTGCCCCTCCTGCAAACAGGGCCTACCCTCTTCTCTTAACCATCTGCCCCTGTCTTCTAACTGCCTCGCTCCAGCTGTGCTCTGGCACGCATCCCCCTCCTGCTCTCACCCCGCCCTCTCCCTCTGCTCCCTGCAATGTGCTGCTCAGGGTGCCCATCTCCCCAGGCTCTGGAGGGTGCTGCCTTTGCCACAGGCCTTTCCCCTCCTCTGCACACAGCTGTGGGGTCTGAATGCTGATGGGACATCATTGAGCAGCCAGGGCATGCCCGCCTAACCACAAATGCCAAGGTGAACAGCACTGTGACTTCTATACTGGCACTCTCTGCCATGAGAAGGGAATGTGGGGAGGTCGGACCTCCTTCACCTGCCCTGCCCTAGGCCAGCTGGCTCAGTGCAGGGGAGGATGCCTTCTAGGCTGAGCCCTGCAGCCCAAGGGCACCTCCCACCTGGCCCCACCTGCACCTGCAAACCCTGCCAGCAGTTAGCAGACTCCTCTCCTCCTCTCTCCTCACCCTTGTGTGCCTCCATTGCAAATTCAAAGAAGAACGATAGAAATATTCTGAAATAATGTGGCCCCTCCTAATCAGATGTCAATGCCAAATTCCACGGGAACTGCAGTAACAACTCCCATTGCAGCCTCTCCTCCTAGAGACCACTGTCGGACACCTTAGATTCCTTTCCCCAGCAGAAGGCCTGGCTGATTCTGCAGCTAAGAACCAAGGAAAGGGGCATGAGCCTTGGTGGGTGGGTGACTGTTGCTTAGGGCAGAGTAGGGGTGACCACAGGCACCAGTGCCTGCATGACCAAGAGCAAGGACTGAAATAGGTGGTGAGGGAGGCCCACAGTGATCGTCAGAAAGGGAACCAAAGGGCTGGGGCCCCTGGACTGGCCTGTGTCCCCAGTGGCCGTGCTGGGGAGCCTGTGAGTCTCAGGAGTCCCTGCCTCCAAGCAGTGTCTTTCTGCAGGAACGCTGAGGCAGCATGATCCAACTGTGACCAAGAGACGGACGTGGACGAGATGACAGGCAAGTTCAGAACAAGCACGCCCATTTTATTTTTTCCTTTTCTCCAAGAAGGTAGCAGGCAGCCACCATGTGAGGAACATCAGCTTTGGTGCAGCCCAGATACATCCCCCACAAAATCTGGGGGTGCTGGTGAAAGCCCCCTGACAGTGTCGTCAATAGCCTTTTCCATGAAGAAGCATGGAAGGCTGTACCCAAAGGCACTGGGATAAGAGGAAGCTGCCTTCCTTCTGAGAAGTGGGTCTCTTCCCTAGGAAGATCCCCAGGAGGAGGATGGGAAGTGAGTGATGAAGAGCTGGGAAAACCAGCATCCATCTGTACAAAGGAGACCCCAGGAAACAGGTTGACCAACTCTCCAAAGATGTCTCATTCTCTTAAAGCTCATTTCCATTTTAAATGAGTGTTTGGATAAGAGCACCAAACCTGGTGTTAGTGAGCACTGACTCACCAAAGAAGGAAAACCCCACAGGAAAAGCCTGGTGGCTTTACTACCTGGAGGAAAAGACTCAGGAGGATGCCAGAAGCCAAATGCTGAAGGAACCACTGCAGTGAGGGAAAGGGTTGGGGAAAAATCCCCTCCCTCCAAGAATGCAGGGACCAGTTGGCTGTGCCACCCCACACCTGGGGAGATGGCTCTGTGCTGCTGCCTTTCAAGTTGGGCCAACCTCAGAAATCCTTGGGGATGCCAGAAGGCTGGACCACAATGCTGCCTGGAGTGTGAGTGTCCTGAGCTTCTTTTAGCAGACATGGGGACTCTGTGCCTGACCAGCAACCGGGATAGAAGAAGGCCTAGAGTGCACATTGCCATGAGGGGCTCAAATGAAGATGGCTCTTCAGGCGGGTCAGTGGCACCAGCCAGACAGCCTCATGGTCCATTCCTCTGGCGACCCTGCTCTCTTCTGCCTCTTTTTCTCCTGCTCCACTGTCCATCTTCCACACACAGGACTGGTGATCTCCCTGAACTGCCAAATCTGTGCTTCCTATGGTCAACTTGTATGAAAGGAAGGAACAGGGCTTAGATTTCCTGCCCAGCAGGTGTAAAGGGGCAGAACAGTGAAGATTCCCAAAGTCCACAGCTCTAGGGCAGAAAAGCCTCCTGGACACTTGAGCTGTAAGTGGGGCAGCCACCTCCACAGCCCACACAGGGACTCTGCTTGCTGCTCTGGCAGCTATCCCTTAAGGACATGTGGCCCATGCCCTCCCTGGTCTCTCAGTTTCTGGATAAGTCAAGCATTCAGAGAATAGTCCTCTCTATCCTCAAGACCCGTGCTTACTCTGGGGAGGACTGTGTGTGTTGAGGGGAGCTCGTAAGGCCACACCCTCAGGTATGCTGAAGGCATGAATAGACTGACGAGTGCTAGAAGGAATCTAGACAAGTCTGTGACATCCAACCAGCTTCAAGTCTGTTGGAGCCAACTCATGGAGAATCCCAAACCTCCTGAGGGGCCAGGGCCCATGGAGATAATACTGCAGGTGGGTCCACTCTAGAGCATTCCTGGGCCACCTTGTTCTTCAAGGTTTGGCCCGCACCAGGGCAGTGCCTCCACAGCAACATAGGTTCTCAGCCCAACTCTCATCTGACTACTGATTAATATCTGAAGTCCCCTTTAGCCTGTTGCTTGTTCAACATCTTAGGGATGTAAAAACACATAACTTTTTATGGGCATTAAACCCACTTTAAAAAGGAAAGGAGGGAGGACACAGATCAAACAGTGGGGTTGGGGTGGTGAAGGCATTACCAAGCAGTGGGTCCCTCTGCCCAAAGGACAGCAGAGCTGACAGCCACTTGTGCCTGGTGTTTCTACCCAGGGACAGGCAGGTACAGCGGGCATACTCACATCATTGGGAATGGTGAGCTCATGAGTGCTGGCCGGTGGGCTGGCGTCCAGACCTGGGTATACCAAGGGGACATGGTTAGGCTGGTGGAAGGCTGCTAACAGTCACACTCCAGTGCCTGTCCCTCACTCTCCTGGGTCAAGTGAGACAGGGCTGTAGAGCTGGCCCAAGTGTGAGGGTCAGCACAGCCCAGAGGGCCAGGACCCTGTGAGCTTCAGTCCCAAACTGCCACCCAATTTCCTTAGTCCCAACCTCTCTCAAAAGAAGGAAAGAGAAACCCAAGCAGGACATTTTGTTTTTTTCATTTTGTGCACAGCGTGACTTCACTCCCCTGTTATGTTTGTATACTCTCTTGTGACACCTTGGAAAGCCACCCTGGTGGGCCCCTGGCTGAAGGGCAGGGCCATCCAGCATGTCTCAGGGTCTCTGTGCAGCACCCAGGGCACAGGCCATGCTGGTCACACTGATGCTGAGTGCCCATTTTCCCTTAGTTCTCAGGAGACACCACTGGTTCTGAGGCCCACACGGCTCTACCCGACAGTGCCCCACCTCCCTGTGACACCCCCCGGCCTCCTGCAGGGGACAGCAGATGGCAGAGCATGCAAAGTTGCCTCTCATTCTGATTCTGATGTAACTGTCCAGAGGCCCCTGCACATAGCCTGGCTCAGACAGCTCAGGCCCACCAGGCAGTTCTTCCAATTTGGAGCAAGGAGACCTAATGGCATCACTGAGCCAAAAATGAAGTGCTAGGGCCAATGAAAAGCTGCACATTTCTATATAGATACCTTTCTTTGTTGAAGAGTGACAATATGGGTCTAATTGATCATCAAGCCTAAGCTTTTATATTTACAAATCTCCACTTAGTACCATCAGATAAAAGACAACCTCTCAGAGTTCAAGTCCATGATTTGCTCTTGCTTGGAAGCTGCAAGCCCCATGAGTACTGGCACAGGAGGGGCCAGAGGCTGCTCTGCTCTTCGTGCTCAGCATTTCCATTTCCTGGACAAGTGGCGGCTCCAACCTGCAAGTCTAACGCTGACACTCTGCTCTTCCCCTTGCAGGCCCCACGTGGTTCTTGTAACTCGGATTCTGCAGCTCAGCCTGGGCCCTGGAGACCCCAGGATCCACCCCTCCTAACCATCGCAGGCCCAGCTGATGTACCTTCAGAATACCCCAGACTGGGGAGCCCTCCTCCCACCCCCATGCTTCCCTCTTGCTGGTTCCTGCCTCTGCTGTGCCCCTCAGCCTAGGTTCCAGACAGACCAGAGGGGTCCCCAAAATGCACCTCCAATGGTTGGAGACTCCCAATGAGCTCCTACTTCCTCACGGCGCCTCCTGTGCCCCCCAACTCCATGTTAAAGCCACACAGCTCCTGTTCCTCCCCACCACCTCTGCCCTGCCCCCCGTCCCTGCCAGCCACACCCTCCCTGGGCCCTGGGTGGGGCAGTTTGTCCACAATGCCACCTCTCATCTTGTCTTATGGTACTGGCACCACCTCTCACTGTGGCCAGCCAGTCTCCCTGGCAGGGAGTGACCCCACAGGGCAGACGTGGTCCTGTGGGACCGTCCAGCACAGGAGGGGATCAGCTGGTGCTGAATGAACCAATTCATCTCTAATTCTCCATTATTTTTCCTTTGCATATATAAGCCTAGAGTTTCTGTTCTTTATATTCTTTTAATAAAGATACTTTCAAAACAACACTTATTTGGTTATTCAGTTATCTATACACATTCCATAAACAGTGATATTTAAAATGTCACTGAAAAGATTTCCTTGGTCCTGCCTGAGTCCTAGACAGAAATTCCTGAACAAAGTAGACCTTAGATGAATAGAGAGGAGTGAGCCAGACCTGTTGAACTTGGGATATTTTGATTGAAGGGAGGAAAGTATGGGAAATCTTCCTAGGAGGGCATTAAAGTTAAGCAAATAATATAAAGAAATGTCTGCATAACCAGGACAATCATCTCAGGACAGCATGGTCAATGTGTTCATTCATCTCAGGACGGCAAGGCCCAGGTGTTCATCCCTCTCAGGAGAGCATGGCTGATGTGTTCATTCATCTCAAGACAGCATGGCCCAGGTGTTCATTCGTCTCAGGACAGCATGGCCCAGGTGTTCATTCATCTCAAGACAGCATGGCCCAGGTGTTCATTCATCTCAAGACAGCATGGCCAATGTGTTCATTCATCTCAGGATGGCATGGCCGATGTGTTCATTCATCTCAAGACGGCGTGGCCGATGTGTTCATTCATCTCAGAACGGCATGGCTGATGTGTTCATTCATCTCAAGACAGCATGGCCGATGTGTTCATTCATCTCAGAACGGCATGGCCCAGGTGTTCACTCATCTCAGGACAGCATGGCTGATGTGTTCATTCATCTCAGGATAGCTTGGCTGATGTGTTTATTCATCTCATGACGGCATGGACCAGGTGTCCATCCATCTCAGGACGGCAAGGCCCAGGTGTTCGTTCATCTCAGGACAGCATGGCCGATGTGTTCATTCATCTCGGGACGGCATGGCTGATGTGTTCATTCATCTCAGGATGGCATGGACCAGGTGTTCATCCACCTCAGGACAGCATGGCCAATGTGTTCATTCATTTCAGGATGGCATGGCCCAGGTGTTCATTCATCTCAGGACAGCATGACTGTTGTGTTCATTCATCTCAGGACGGCACGGCCGACGTGTTCATTCATCTCGGGACAGCATGGCCCAGGTGTTCGTTCATCTCAGGACAGCATGGCCCGGGTGTTCGTTCATCTCAGGACGGCATGGCCGACGTGTTCGTTCATCTCAGGACGGCATGGCCCAGGTGTTCGTTCATCTCAGGACAGCATGGCCCAGGTGTTTGTTCATCTCAGGACAGCATGGCCGATGTGTTCATTCATCTCAGGACGGCATGGCCGATGTGTTCATTCATCTCAGGATGGCATGGACCAGGTGTTCACTCATCTCAGGACAGCATGGCTGATGTGTTCATTCATCTCAGGATAGCTTGGCTGATGTGTTTATTCATCTCATGACGGCATGGACCAGGTGTCCATCCATCTCAGGACGGCAAGGCCCAGGTGTTCGTTCATCTCAGGACAGCATGGCCGATGTGTTCATTCATCTCGGGACGGCATGGCTGATGTGTTCATTCATCTCAGGATGGCATGGACTAGGTGTTCATCCACCTCAGGACAGCATGGCCAATGTGTTCATTCATTTCAGGATGGCATGGCCCAGGTGTTCATTCATCTCAGGACAGCATGACCGTTGTGTTCATTCATCTCAGGACGGCACGGCCGACATGTTCATTCATCTCGGGACAGCATGGCCCAGGTGTTCGTTCATCTCAGGACAGCATGGCCCGGGTGTTCGTTCATCTCAGGACAGCATGGCCCGGGTGTTTGTTCATCTCAGGACAGCATGGCCGATGTGTTCATTCATCTCAGGACGGCATGGCCGACGTGTTCATTCATTTCAGGACGGCATGGCCCAGGTGTTCATTCATCTCAGGACAGCATGGCCGATGTGTTCATTCATTTCAGGACAGCATGGCTGATGTGTTCATTCATTTCAGGACGGCACGGCCGACGTGTTTGTTCATCTCAGGACAGCATGGCCGACGTGTTTGTTCATCTCAGGACGGCATGGCCGACGTGTTCACTCATCTCAGGACAGCACGGCCCAGGTGAGTCTGTTTCTTATGAAGATGACGACATTCCAGGTACCAGGGGTAAAGGAGGCTGCCCCAACCTGCAGTCCAAGCCCACGCTGGAAGTCTCCTGGCCGCAGCATTCAAAGAGGCCACAAACACCTCCCATCGCTGCCCACCCAATTTAACCCTGCTGTGGCTGGCATGTGTGTGCACTGCAGTCCTCAGGGCCTTGGTGAGGGGAGGGTCATTACAGGACACCTGCCTGGCCACCAGGAAGCCACTGTGGCACCGGCCATGTGCACATGGAGCCACAAGGTGTGGTGCGTGTGTGGCATCTTCTTCACGGGCACCTAGGAACCTGCTAAGCCCCAGGCAAACAACTGTGTCTGTTTCATGGCCTTGGTCACTGAATCTACAAATCTATGTGCTACCCCACAGTATCTGAGGAATGAACATTTTAATGCAAGTCGGGAGGGGTGCAGGCAAATCCAGCACAGACTGATCTTCCTCCTTAAGGGTTTGCTTGTAGTCCTACAAAACCCATTTCCAAAGCACACCATGGTGAGACCTCTATTTCCTGCTCCCACGGCCGCCTCCCATGGCCGGGGTGCCCTGCTCTGAGCACCTCAGGCCCCACCATCCAGCCACAGTGGCAGCATGGCACCACCCACGCCCTTGGCAGCACCTGAGGCTGGCCCACAGCCTCCCATGGAAGCTGGAAACTGCTGCAGCGGCAGGGCCCCCACACCTCCTCCCACTGGGGCTCTGCTCTGCTGCCCTGGCCTGTTCTCCTGTCAGTGTGGCTTTGTGTTACCTGATGACTGGCCCATCAGATTTTGAGCTTCTTCGGAGGAGTGTAAAGGCAGCTTTTCTCCTGGAGAGCAAAGAAGAGACAGGTTTAATGTTTTGCCCTCAAGGAGATAAGCAGGGTCCCTTCAACTAGGGAAGCTCAAAATATGACTGGCGCACGCACCGGCGCTCTCTCTGGCCACAGCCACAGGCATGGCACTGCCTCTGTGGGGAGGGACACCTAGCTGCCAGGCACGCCAGGGGGAGAGGGGGGTTGTCCACAGGCATGGCGCTGCCTCTGCAGGGAGGGACACCCAACTGCCAGGCATGCCAGGGGCAGGGTGGGCTTGCCACGGATGGCCACCCT